>NC_000010.11:17434242-17585757 GCF_000001405.40 Homo sapiens
AGAGTCCCAGAAAATCTTCTAAGATTCAACAATTGACGTGCTTTGCTACAAACACTGCAGATCTGGACCTAGCACCTGCCTTCCTAAGGAAAGAAGGATGTTTTTACCCGATCAAATTAGGTACCACCTGCATATTCACCCTGTTGGTACCCAGGCTCTAAGATAAGAGCACAGGTTTCCTGCAGCATAAATATCCACTGAACGGATGAATGAAGCCATTAATAACCTTTTGACTGTGTGCTAAGAGTCAGTACTGTGCTGAGAAGAATATTTTCAAAAGAAAAGAAAATCATCTTTTTGAGTGAGTTGGGATAGAATCTTTGGATATAAATTCATTCTTTTCTTAGGGGACTTGCTCTTAATGAAACTCAGGGTGAATGAGGCGGATGTGCTTATTCCCTGGACCTTCCTGAAAGTACAGTGCAATCCCACAAATACAGCCTGTACGCAGCAGGAATGAAGGGTGAACCTGTGTCTGTAGGTGTTGGGAGGACACACACACACACACACACGGGAAAGGAAAACTGAGTTGGTTAACTGCAACTTGGGTAAAGTAAATAATGAGGCCTCAGTGCATGTTCACTGGCATGGTTTATGGTTTCTCTTGTGACTTTCTGGAGAGGGCAACTTTCTGGAGGTGGCCACCAGAACACCAGCTTCCGCCTTTAAGGCTGGGCACAGACTCTCCGACCCACCCACACAGATTGGGGCAGCTCCAAGCTCCCAGATTCGGCAAGGACTCCCATGCTGAGAAAGCTCTCCAGGTTATTTTCAAAAATGGCCTGGGGCCTAAATTACACTCAGGGGGATGCCAGCCCCCTGGAAAGCCCCCTGAAGCTGACCATGCGTGGCTTATTCTGCATTCCTTGTTGCTGCTGCATATCTGAATTCATTAAGTTTGACTTCGTAATCTGAAGAGATTCAAAGATCTGAGCTGTTCTCTTGCCTCTCAGTATGGTATGTGGCTTCTAGGCCAAATTCTATCACTTCCAGGTCTCCCCAAGGTCCTCTGTCCCCAAAAGCCTGTCATATGTGCTCACCTCCTTCTTCCAAGTCCCCTAAATGTCCAGAAAGCTTTATCTCCATTTCCTATGAGACACACTGCAGCTTATCTCTGTTTCACCATCTGGAGCCTAATTCCCATGAGGGCAAAGACCATGAGGAACACAGCCTTCAGCTTTGTGGCCTGGGACAAGTTACTGACCTCTCTGTGTTTTGGCTTCTCCTTTGGTAAAATGAGAATATTACCAGTTCTACATAATAACATTGTGGTGAGAATTAAATGAAATCATACTAAGCTGCTGAAACCTGGCACTTAGGAACAGTTGAATAATTGCTAAACTTCCTTGGTTCTATTCAGCTTGACACAAAGCCCCATAGATCACAGGGACTCCCATTTGGGTGACTATTCTCTATCTTAAACAAACAGCATTTCAGCCCTGACTTGAACTGCTTATAAAATGGGGGGTTGGGGGGGTGGGGGGCAGGCAATACAAGAAATCTGAATATTAATGGAGAATTTTGCCCATTGTGTCTGTGTCTCACCTCAAGATATTTTTTATAACAATGTGGATTCCCTAACGAGACTTCTTAAAAGTTGATGCACTTCAAAAAGTTACATCCTCTCATATCCCAACAACAAAATTACTTCTGTGAAAGTTGATTATGTGAATTGGGTGATTCTTGCCATACCCAAATAAATCAGAGTCTAGGGACCAGCGGAGGGAAAGCATTCCGCACATAGCACCTGTTTCAAAAATTATCCACAAACCCAGCTACTAAAACAATGTGCTGTAACCCTAAGATGAGTTTTACTTAGCAGCTGCTGGAATCACCTGCTGCGACTCTAAGACTAGTTTTACTTACCACTGTCACTCACCAGTCAGAGCTTGCCAGCTCCCAAAACCTTCTATCGTGCCAATGAGCTTTCTTTCAAAACAATACATAACACTTGTCTTACTGATAAAACTCCAATATTGTTTGGCTGTGTCCCCACCCACATCTCATCTTTAATTCCCACATGTTGTGGGAGGGTCCCTGGGGGGGAGGTAATTGAATCATGGGAGCAGGTCTTTCATGTGCTATTCTCATGCTAGTGAGTAAGTCTCACTAGATCTGATGGTTTGTTTTTGTTTTTGTTTTTTTATACTGTAAGTTTTAGGGTACATGTGCACAACGTGCAGGTTTGTTACATATGTATACATGTGCCATGTTGGTGTGCTGCACCCATTAACTTGTCATTTAGCATTAGGTATCTCTCCTAATGCTATCCCTCCCCCCTCCCCCCACCCCACAACAGTCCCTGGTGTGTGATGTTCCCCATCCTGTGTCCAAGTGTTCTCATTGTTCAATTCCCACCTATGAGTGAGAACATGCAGTGTTTGGTTTTTTGTCCTTGTGATAGTTTGCTGAGAATGATGGTTTCCAGCTTCATCCATGTCCCTACAAAGGACATGAACTCATCATTTTTTATGGCTGCATAGTATTCCATGGTGTATATGTGTCACATTTTCTTAATCCAGTCTATCATTGTTGGACATTTGGGTTGGTTCCAAGTCTTTGCTGTTGTGAATAGTATCTGATGGTTTTATAAAGGGTAGTTTTCCTGCACAAGCCCTCTTCCCTTGTCTGCCACCCTGTGAGATATGCCTTTTACCTTCCACCATGATTGTGAGGCCTTTCCAGCCACGTGCGACTGTGAATACATTAAACTTCTTTCTTTTGTAAATTGCTCAGTCTCGGGTACGTCTTTATCAGCAGCGTGAAAACTAACTAATACAAACTCCCAACCTTCTCTTTGTTCTTCAGGCATACCCAAGAACACTCCATCTGTGTGTATGCCCCAAATTGCAATTCTATGATTCCCAAATAAAACATTTCACTTACAGATTCATTTCTCTCTCTCTCTCTCTCATACGTATTTCACATATATTTGAGACAGGGTCTTGCTCTGTTGCCTCAGGCTGGAGTGCAGTGGCGCAATCACAGCTCAATGCAGCCTTGAACTCCTGGACTCAAGCAATTCTTCTGCCTCAACCTGCCAAGTAGTTGGGACTACACATGTGCCATCACACTCAGGTAATTTTATTTTATTTTTTAATTTTTAGTTTATAGAGACATGGTCTCACTATGTTGCTCAGGCTAGTCATGAACTCCTGGCCTCAAGAAATCCTCTTGGCTTGGCCTCCCAAAGTGCTGGGATTACAGGTGTAAGCCACCATGCCTGGACAATCTCTATATTTTATTTTGATTTCAGCATACTTGGTGTCAGAAGTGGGGTCTGAAGCAGACTCACCTTGGAGAGATCAACAACAGGCCCTGGAACTATGGCTTGTGGTACCCACATTCAGGCCCCTTGGACCCCCTGTTTCCTTCCTTCCTTCCTTCCTTCCTTCCTTCCTTCCTTCCTTCCTTCCTTCCTTCTGTCTCTCTTTCTCTTTCTCTTTCTCCCTTCCCTTCCTTCCCTTCCTTCCCTTCCCTCCCTTCCCTCCCTTTCTCTCTTTCTCTCTTCCTTTCTTTCTTCTGTCACCCAGGCTGGAGTGCAGTGGCCCAATCTTGGCTCACTGCAATCTCTGCCCCCTGGGTTCAGGCGATTCTTCTGCCTCAGCCTCCTGAGTAGCTGGGACTACAGGTGGGCACCACCATGCCCAGCTAATTTTTGTATTTTTAGTAGAGATGGGGTTTCACCATATTGGCCAGGCCGATCTCGAACTCCTGACTTCGTGATTCATCCACCTCAGCCTCCTAAAGTGCTGGGAATACAGGTGTGAGCCACCATGCCTGGCCATGCCCCCCTGTTTCTGTAGGTTGCCTCTTTTACTGCCTGTTGAGTCTCTCTTGGACTAAACTCTCTTTTTATTTTATTTTACTGAGCTTGATTTTATTTGGGAATTGGTTATGAGAGGTCTTTCCCTGTCCTGGTTATGAGATCTCCTGTTTAGAAAGGGTTTTTTCCCCTCCTGGTTACAGGGACTTTTCCCCACTGGAGAAGAGTTATCATCTTTCTTGATAAGTATGTACTTTAGACTCCAATTCATTTGCACACTTAAGAGTTTAATTTGGCTTTTGTGTATTCGGCATTAAACCGAATCACCTAGATAAATTTATTTACAAATGGGCTCTCAAAGTTCAAAGGCATGCCAATATAGCTCCTAGCTCTGGGACCCCAGCTGGTAACATATACAAACATTATGGAGATTATTCAAAGAGTCTGTTTTTCTGAAAACTAAACTAAAAAAAAAAAATGACACCTATAAAATCACACAGTCCAAATAGGACACATATCTCAATTGGTATCTGAAGGCTCCAAAACACATTCAGGACTCAAAGACTGCCTGTGAGCTAGCTGAGACTTTCCAGTCCAAAGCCTTTCCCTTCCCTTCCTACACCTCCTCCTCTTTATCTTTCTCTAAGCTAAGCTCTCTTTTTCCAAAACTCCTCAGCTATTCTGTCATACTGACTATTTAAGTAAAGACACTTGGAAACCAGAAGATAACAAAGAAAATCATTTTGACCTTTGCGGTATTTATTAAAAGCAAAAGATTAAATTCCCATGTAAAAGACACTTCCTCTGTACTAAAAGGAAAGGCAAACTCTCATCTTTGAGGAAAAGGGATTAAGACCAAGAGAATATTGCACAGACCTTGTTAGAATAACTCTTACCTTTTGAGCCTCTTCACATAATTCAGTCACATTTTCAGAGTTAACAATTCTTTTTCAATCCAGTGTGTTGGTCACTGACTCAGACTGCTTTACCCAAAATGTGCTTCACAGCCTCCATAAGATGACATATTATGGCAAATAAAAAACACAAACCACCTTCCAAACTACAGCTTTTTACAGTTTTACAGTTTCTACTTAATTTCAAGTTGAAAATGCTATCTTCTTCATTTAAAATGATAATTTCATTTCTTCCTCTTCCAGCTTTTCAGATTCATATCTCAAGTGTTTAGGTATTCAGCTTTTTACACATCTCACTACATGTGATTTACAGGTCATGCATTATTACTTTCTGTGCTTCTTCCCTCTCTTTTTTTTTTTTTTTTTTTGGAGTTGGGGATGGAGCCTCTCTCTGTCACCCAGACTGGAGTGCAGTGGTGCAATCTTGGCTCACTGCAACCTCCGCCTTCCATGTTCAAGTGATTCTTGTGCCTCAGCCTCCCAAGTAGCTGGAATTAGAGGCACCCACCATCACATCCTGCTAATTTTTGTATTTGTAGTAGAGGCAGGGTTTTGCCATGCTGGCCAGGCTGGTCTAAAACTCCTGACCTCAGGTGATCCACCCGCCTCGGCCTCAGCAAAGTGCTGGGATTACAGGCGTGAGCCACCATGTCCAGCATATGTTTAACTTTTTAAGAAACTGCCAAACTCTTTTCCAAAGTAGCTGCACTTGGACCTCCATGAATGTCTGATTTGGTGCCAGCAATCTCTAAGCTTCATCTCCCCACCGTGTCTGTCGCCTCCTGCACAATCCTAACAAGGCTCACTTTACCCCCACTTCCCACGTGTCAATTTAGAGACTCCCAGGCCAACGGCATGTGAAGAAGAGGAATCACTACAAGGCATGCTGAGGCTATCTCCCAGGAGGAAATGGCTCATTAGAAATCATTAGAGCAATAAAATATCTATGCAGCTGTTCCTACAAAGTTCATGAACACAAATGGAGGTATTTTCAATTGTACAACAAAGATTCAACACTCCCTAGAACTATGTGGATCTTCCAACGAGGAAAGGAAGATCTTAAATAAACTCCCAGTGCCAACAATCTTAAATCAGATGCCAGCTCTGGCTTCACTCCATTACAGCAATTTGAATGGGGTATAACTATGGGATTCAGGATGACAGTGCCTACGGCTTTCATAATCATAAGCAATAGGAAATTACTCCACAACTCCTGGAGGCAAAGGGATACTGATTTTTAGTCAGTTTTGTAATAGTTTCTCAACTCAATAGTTTCTCAAATGTATTTTTTTTTTTTTTTTTGAGACAGAGTCTCACTCTGTCACTCAGGCTGGAGTGCAGTGGCATGATCTCAGCTCACTGCAACTCCGCCTCCCGGGCTCAAGCAATTCTCCTGCCTCAGCCTCCCAAGTAGCTGGGATTACAGGCGCCCGCCACCATACCCTGCTAATTTTTGTATTTTTAGTAGAGACGAGGTTTCACTATGTTGGCCAGGATGGTCTCGAACTCCTGACCTCAAGTGATTCACCTGCCCCGGCCTCCCAAAGTGCTGGGATTACAGGTGTGAGCCACCGCACCCAGCCTCAAATGTAATTTGTAATAGTTTCTCAAATGTTAAACTTTGCCTCAAGGTCTTAGGGCTATCCATACATTCATAAGGAGTAGACAAAACTCCTGTGCACTACACCGGCTATGCACTCTCCGTGTTCTAAAACTTCTTATCCTCCTCTAACCCTACCCCAGGACTTCCTGCCTATGTGAGTAATAAACCTTTCTGTGATCCCGCTAAAGAACCACTGTCAGGAGCTTCGGCAGTAGAAGCTAACCTTGGGAGGAAGCCTTCTCCATGTCACGGTGGCATTGCTACAAAAGTCATTATAAAAGACATGGAGTTGTATCTTATTGGGGTTTTGGTTTGCATTTCCCTAATGATTAATGATGTAGAACATTTTGTCACATGCTTATTAGCCATCTGTCTATCTTCTTTGCTGAAGATAGGTCTTCACATCTGCCCATTTTTAAACTGGGGTTGTCTTCTTGTTAATTGAGTTGCAAGAGTTCATTACATATTCTGGATACAAGTCTTTTATTGGATGTATGATATACAAATATCTTCTCTCAGTGGATGGCTTATGTTTTTATATTCTTAATGGTGTCTGTTGAAGCACAAACTTTTTTTTAATTTAGGAAAAATATAATTTGTCAAATTTTTCTTTTATTGATTATGCTTTTGGTGCCACATCTAAGAATGCTACCTGATCCAAGCTTCTAAAATTTTTCTTGTATGTTTTCTTTTGGACATTTTCTGTCTGTAGCTTTTGTCTGTGATCCATGTGGAAACCATTCTTCTGTGTATAGTGTAAGGTAAGCATCTAAATTATCTTTATTTATTTATTTATTTATTTATTTGAGACGGAGTCTCGCTCGTTTCCCAGGCTGGAGTGCAATGGCGCGAGCTCAGCTGACTGCAACCTCCACCTCCCAGGTACAAGCGATTCTCCTGTCTCAGCCTCCCAAGTAGCTCGGATGACAGGCATGCACCACCATGCCTGGCTAATTGTTTTGTATTTAGTAGAGACAGGGTTTCACCATGTTAGGCTGCTCGCGAACTCCTGACCTCCAGTGATCCACCTGCCACAGCCTCCCAAAGTGCTGGGATTACAGGCGTGCACCACTGCACCCGGCCCCTGGATCTAAACTTATCTTTTTGCTTATAGAGATCCCATTGTGCCAGCACCATTTGTTGAAAACTATCCTCGCTCCACCATCTGGAAGTCCCACCCTCTAAATTTGTTAATTAATTTAATTAAGTTTCATTTGAAAGAATCTGTCAAACTCAATAAAATTACATTTATTAAAAAGACTTATCTGAAAGTTCCACATTTGAAATTGGCCCTAAACACAAGCTCTAATTTTTATTGTTTTTATAGTAAAGACGATATAAAACAATTTTTTTTTTTTTTTGAGATGGAGTCTTGCTCTGTCACCCAGGCTGGAGTGCAGTGGTGTGATCTGGGCTCACTGCAACCTCCACCTCCCAGGTTCAAGCGATTCTCTTGCCTCAGCCTCCCAGGTAGCTGGGATTACAGGTGCCTGCCGCCACGCCTGGCTAATTTTTGTATTTTTAGTAGAGATGGGGTTTCCTCATGTTGGCCAGGCTGGTTTCAAACTCCTGACCTCGTGATCCACCTGCCTCGGCCTCCCGAAGTGCTGGGATTACAGGCGTGGGCCACTGCACTCGGCCAAAACAATCTTTTAAAATGTTATATGTGTCTCATTCTGCCAAAACACACTCTTAAGGAAAATGGAAGAAACCTTATACAGTGGGCAATGTTTGGTAAATGCAATATTTTCCAGGTTGTTACAGCTTTTTCCAAGAAACCAGCCCAAGAAACCAATATTACTACTCACATATGTGAGTAGTGATATACGACAAAATCAAAAAATTTATGTGAACACTTTTTAGCTTAGAATGTGCCATTTTTCTTCAAAAGGATTGTCTAGCAGCAGCCCAGAATAAACCTGAGTAACACTAATTTCTGCCTTGGAGATGCATTTTTTAAAATCATTATTTTTCTAAAGTTACATTTCTATACAAAGTTTCCATTGATCTGTAGCTTTTCAAAGAGTGTTCAAAATCCTACAGAAGCGAGTGCTAGCATTGACTGAAGAGATATGTGATCATTAATCTCCAAATTATTTATTTGAAAAAATTCTCCTAAGTACAAATATCATAAGACTTTATACCAGCTTATTATTCAAATTCTTTGTTAATATACAGTCTGCCTTTAAGAAATAATTATAGATATGGGTTTTCAACTCTGCAGGTTTAAATCATCCTCTTCCAATTAGAAAATGTTATTTTATATGCTTACACATAAGCACACAACTATAAACTCAGGCTATTTTGTCACGTAAATCTCACTGTCTATCCATCCTGTAATACAACATGGTAAAGTGCACCTCCAAAAACCTAGACAAGGCAACAAAACTCAAATCCCAAAAAGCTGCTGTTCTAGATTATAAATGGGGTCAGTGGTGAAAAAGATAGACAAGGCTTCGACTTCCCAGAACTACAATCTATTGCATGTATAATGTTCCCTAGATATAGGAAGCGTAAATACTTTGGTATACCCAAAGTGAACATGGTGTGTTGGATGGACTCCCAGCTCAAAAACACAAAAATATGCCCACAACTTAATGTGCAAACAGTAAAGCAACATTGGCAAATATAAATATGTAGGATATAGGTGTCCTCCTGAAATAGCAAAGTACCAACAATATTATAAAATACGTATTATAGACTTAGAAGATACCTGGCAAACACCAGGTTTTGGAATCACACATTTATTTTATAGAGTTAGGAAATAAGGGGATATAATCTCAAAAAAAGAATATATGGAATCCAAATGCAGCTTCTAAAGACAGCATTCCAACAGAGGTTCCAGCAACCAGTGAGAGACTTTAATCATTTGCAAAATTAATGGTCTCTTTACAACCTCAATTTCTGGGAATGCTGCATTTAAAAATTATACGGTAGAGAATTTCGGTGTATTTTACAATAACAACAATAACTAGCAAGATAACAAAAATTGTTTTACAATAACTGCAAAAGCACAGGTTGTGCCCTATAAAATTATCTTTAGAAATAATTATGCCCATGGATATGAATGTTCCCCAGAATTAATGACTGATTATCTACAGCATGTACAAATCATTCTTAGTACTTGGTGAAAAATCATAATAAATTTGTTTAAATCTGAGGACATAGAAAAGATGGGCTTTGCTGCCCTGGACAAGCTAAACTCCTAAGTGTATGTAGATAAATGTACTACAGCAATGATCATCTTCCTAATGGCAAAGGAAGCTATAAAACAAGGCATCGGGGAAGAAAAGAGCACCTTTCTCATGTTTACCAAACCATCCGTGGCTTTTTAAAGGGCTTCTCTTTTTGCCCTGCAAATGAGAGATTACAGAACCCTCGCACCCTTAGATCACAGAACAGCTGAAGACTACTGACTCTAAAAGGAATCGCTGCACCTTGCAAAAGAGGGGATATATTTCTTTCCTTTTCTTCCTTTCATATCCCTTCTGCTGTAACCAAGCCTCTGGTCTCGTTATTTCCAGCGTTAGCACCTAATAGGCCAAAATGTCTGTGTTTCTCTATAACCACCCCTCCAAAGATATCCTTCCTGCCTCCCCTGGGCAGTCAGGTTTTTTTTCTTCTTTCACATTTATGCTAATGCCTGTTGCCTTAAAGGAAATGTCTAATAAGGAGACACTGAATTAATACACAAGACCAGACAACGCTACCCAACTAAGGAAGTCTTGATTTTTGTTGCAGGGAAACCACCTTTGCTTTGACATATGTGTGTAAACGGTATTGTCTGTCGAACGTTGCCTCGTGAGTCATAAAAAGAAACATCCCAGCCTCTTTGTTAAGAGAAGTGCTGTCAAGTAAGTAGTAGAGTTATATGAGTGAGACAGAAAATAAAATTCCACCTCCAACAACCTCTGAAATGGGAGGTGGGTCATTCAGACACCATTTCTTCATGAACTGCTGCCCTGTTCCTCTACCCAGTCCACAGAGGAAAGGCAATAGCAGGGCATTTCCTTGTGTCCTTCAAGCTCTCCCTGGCTCTCCTGTGCACGTGAAAAGACACCCACAGAAGCTCAGGGGTGACTGCAGCCCATACTCTGTAGCCCTCTACCTGGGCCAGCTGCCCCGGACAATTGCACCTGATAGCTTTTCCAGAGCAGAGCAGCCAGAGAGGTGACAAAGAATGAAAGCACTGAAAAATGTCAACCTGGGAAGCAAATGTGAAACCCATTTCCAAACAGGGAAGGCAAGGAGAAAAGCAAGTCACATCAGAACAGAGATGGGGGAGAAACCCCTCTGAGTCTTAAAAGAGAAGGGTTGCAATTAAGATGGAATTAGGAAGTAGAAAAAGAAGCAGAATGCAAGATTTAAGCCCATTTCAAAGCTTTTCAGAAACCAGACTCAAGGCAGCTTTAAAGCATTCTGAATTTTTAAAATCAGAACACATATTCGTATCATTACTTCAAAAAGCAAAGACACAACAGTGAAAAACCTTTTATTGCTCTTGGAAGTAAAATCTAATAGCCTTCATCTATTTGGAGCATGAGGTGGAAAGGAAAGTGGTAAAAGGGTAAAAATCAAGTGTTCTAGAGTTAGGGTTAGTTTTCTTTTTTCAAGCTCTAGTTCACACTCATCTTGAATTTTCTGAAGCCTGTAGTTATGATCCCATTGTGAACATATACAACAAAAAATGTCAAATAAAACATTATTACAACTTTCAATATAAGACAGCAGAGAGTAAACAGTGCCTGATTTTCTCTCTTCCAGACTATTTACATTCTTACGAACAGACACAAGTCTACACAAAATGACAAGCGCACATTTCGGTGGCAACAGATCAGCTGCTTCAGAAATTTATCTGGCTTGGGGAAGAGATATTATTAACAAAAGCAAATATGGAACCACTCTGAGGAATTACCAGCAGCTGATGTAAATTTTCACCTCAGAAACAGACCAGGTCCAGGGAGAAAAAAACTAGAGAGGTTTTGATTCTCCTCCCACCGTCTGCCTTTCTTTTCCAAAGAATAGAGAGCCTGCCCCAACTGGAAAATCAGGTAGCTTCTCCCACACAGGAAGGGATCTGCTGCCTGAGGCAGAAAGGGCTGCTTGGGTGCCTCTGTCCCCAGTGCCCCTTCATTTCTGTCTTCCTACATCCTCTTGAGATTACATGTTGATTACATTATATTCTATTGTATCGTACTACATAATACAGCAACACTGAAAGAATGAAAGGAAACGGGAAAGGGAGTGAATTGGCCTTTGCACCCTGAGGATAGGAAGAGGGTGGTGGATACTGGGACAGCCTGGTGGACCCAGCCCTCCCAGGGTTATTAGATGACATTTGTCACGTACCATTCCTGGCAGCAGCGGCAGGTCAGGGTGACCAGGATCACCTAGGAATGCATGTACTTCTGACAGTCATGAAACCAAGGCATGAGAGCAAGAGATAGTTTTGGGGTCTGGTATCCAAAAATTCAAATTAGTAAATTTCATGTTATGTGTATTTTATCACAATTAAAAAAAAAAACTCAAACTTTAAACATTCAGAGATTTGTTTAAGGGGTATATGGCTCTGGTATCCATAATGCTGTAAAAAGGGAAATCTTTTAGTCCCTGAGGTGGACAGCAGCAAGTCCTAAGTCCTCCAATCTGATAAGCATAGTGGGACAGAGGACTCCTCACTTGAGGACATCTAGGTCGAAAACAAACAAAAAAAATCACAAAACTTATGAAAATATTCTATAATGTAGGAGGAGGCTATTGCTCTTAAAATGCAGAGAAAAATCATACTTTTGAAAAACAGTTAACTACAAGAAACAGGAAATCTTTAGAAAACATTCCCTTGGTGGACTCAATGAAATATAAGAAAACACAAAATAACAAATGGAAAGTGAGATGTAAAAGGCTACTTAAATGCTTTCTGAGATGTAAACTGATACAGTAAGGTTCAGGCTGAGAGAAGAAAATAATTGTAAAGAATAAAAATGTAACCAATTTACTGTTTTTGATAGAGCACAACAGAGAAGTGACACTTCGGAAAAGTAATTCAGTAACATGGAAGACAAATTTGAGAAGCCATCCCAGAAAGCAGAGGAAAAAGACAAAGCCAAAATCTGAAAGAGAAATAAAGTTATTAACTTGGGGAGGGGATGGTGAAGAAAAGGCAGAATAAGAACTATGCGAGACAGAAAACAAAGATTCACTTCACAAAATAGAGGAAAAATGTCTACAAAGCTTTAAGAATAAAAAGAAAAAAAGGGCTGGGAGCGGTGGCTCATGCCTGTAATCCTAACACTTTGGGAGGCTGCAGCAGGTGAATCACCTGAGGTCAGGAGTTCAAGACTGGCCTGGTGTCTACCAAAAAAAAAAAAAATTAGCTGAGCGTGGTGGCAGATGCTGCCTGTATTCCCAGCTACTTGGGAGGCTGAGGCAGGAGAATTGCTAGAACCCTGGGGGCAGAGGTTGCAGTGAGCCAAGATAGCGCCATTACCGACTCTGTCTCAAAAAAAAAAAAAAAAAGAAAAAGAGAAAAAATAATAAAGCTGTGATCAAATAACAGAATCCATGTATGAAAAATAAGAATTGTGGCCGGGAGCAGTAGCCCATGCCTGTAATCCCAGCACTTTCGGAGGCCGAGGGGGCTGGATCACGAGGTCAGGAGTTGGAGACCAGCTTGGCCAACATAGTGAAACCCCATCTTTACTAAAAATTAGTAAACCCTATCTTTATAAAAATTAGCTAGGTGCAGTGGTGTGGGCCTGTAATCCCAGCTACTGAGGAGGCGGAGGCAGGAGAATCACTGGAACCCAGGAGGCGGAGGTTGCAGTGAGCTAAGATTGCGCCACTGCTCTCCAGCCTGGGCAACGAGAGCAAAATTCCTTCTCAAAAGAAAAAAAACAAAAAGAATTATGTCCTTAAAATACAAGGAAAGCTTTCATGAACTACCAAAAAAAAAAGTGCCCTCAAATATCTAAAGTTTCATGACTATAATCCATATTCCAATGCTAAAAATATTAGACTTATGCAAATAAATACCAAGCTTATGACCAAGAAAGAAATAAAGAACAAAGAACTGAAGAAATGAGGAGGGGATCATTTAAAATGATAAATTCCAAGCAATGAAAAGATAATCTAAATAGTACTAGGTTGTTAAGCAATAACTCAATTCAAATCAAAAAATAATTTTCATAGGAAAAAGTGTATAATAAAATAATAATTACTAACTAAAAAGTCCACCCCTTTGCCACATGACCCCAAAAACTATGTAGATTAATTTAACTAATATTAAAATTTAAAAAAAATTTTTTTTTGAGATAGAGTCTCACTCTGTTGTCCAGGATAGAGTGCAGTGGAGCGATCTTGGTGAGATCATGTTCAAGTGATTCTCGTGCCTCAACCTCCTGAGTAGCTGGCATTACAGACACCCGCCACCACATCTGGCTAATTTTTGTATTTTTAGTAGAGACAAGAGTTTGACCATGTTGGCTGGGCTGGTCTCAAACTCCTGACCTCAAGTGATCTGCCTGCCTTGGCCTCCCAAAGTGCTGGGATTATAGGTGTGAGCCACTGTGCCTGGCCTAGTTTGAGGATTTCTAATTAGCCTTACCAATTAGCAAGTAGAGGCCAAAGTCCTTCTGCAGAGGAAAAGGACCACAGGAAAGGGAGAGAAAGGCCATTAAGATAAATAGCAGGCGAACCTCTATAGGAAAACAGAGACATGAAGGTGAGGTCCCCCGTCTCTGGTAAACTCATGGTTCAATCATCACAGATGGGCCAATGAAACAGACACCAACTAACCAGGACATTCAAAGAATAACAGCAGTTGCTGTCCAGGACGTCACGGCCAGCCACACAATCCCAAATCATCACCACAGATGTTTAAAGCCAAAGTGGACAGCTGCCACCAAAAGGTGCCAAATCATAGCCAAGACATGGATGTTCCCATGGAACTCCAAATTAGCTAGTTACACAAGCTTGTGCGGGCCGTTTCATTAATCTCCCAATAATTCAACCCCTCATTTCTAATGATTGGATATTTGGGTACTCACTTATGGCATTATGGCAGGGTTTTTATTGTTGTTGTTGTTCTTGTTGTTGTTGTTGTTGTTTTTGAGACAGAGTCTCGCTCTGTCACCCAGGCTGGAGTGCAGTGGCACAATCTCGGCTCACTGCAAGCTCCGCCTCCTGGGTTCACTCCATTCTCCCACCTCAGCCTCCCTAGTAGCTGGGACTACAGGTGCCCGCCACCACGCCAGGCTAATTTTTTTTTTTTTTTTTTTTTTGTTAGAGACAGGGTTTCACCATTCACAGGATGGTCTCAATCTCCTCACCTTTTGATCCACCCATCTCGGCCTCCAAAAGTGCTGGGATTACAGGCGTGAGCCATTGCGCCCGGCCGGCAGGGTTTTATTGAGCTTCTTTCATAATCAAAATGAAATTAATATTATTTAAGAAAATAATATTTTAGAATAAAATATTCAAAGTCTTCACCTAAATGACTCTGAAGATAAACAAAAAGTTCTAAAATGTAATTATAAACAGTTTAGAATGTATTTTTAAAAATCTAAACATATATAGAAACTGAAGAAATGAGTCCAAAGCTGCATTCAATGGAAAATTCATAGTATTAAATATTTTTGTTACAAAAAAGAGGAAAAATAACATAAATAAATCAAGTATTCATTTCAAGATATTAAGTTGAAAAAATAGAATATTTTAAAAGATAAAAGTACCACAAAGGAAATAGAACATGAAAATATATATAAATTGAGAAATAAATCCAAGAGCTGGTTATTTAAAGAACAAGAAAGCCAATGAAAAACTTTGACAAAGCTTATTAGCAAGAGAAAGGATCCATTGTAATGGGGTGATATTTTGAAAACTACTAGTTTATTTTCTCTTTTGTCTTTCTGAGTATATGACCTTACCCTAGACCACTTGAAACATCTTTGCAGGGAGGAAGAAGAGATTAAGACTTTTTCCTGAAAGAATGCAAAAAGAGAAGATAAGGTAATAATCCACTTTAGACAAGTAAAATAGAATTTTCTGCAGCCTCAAGAGAATATATTCCAAATTCTTTTCATTCTCCCACTTTAGCACATTAACCATCTTACCTGGAAGACACAGCTCCTTGAATTTCCCCAATCCTTTGCCTCTAGTCCCCACAATTTATCATTAAGGCTTGAGCTTGAGTTAGACTTGGAGGTTTGCATCAGGGCAAATAGAATATGAAACAGGGAAGCCTGCAAATTTCTGGAACTGAGTCAGTAGGAGCAGAAGAGCAAAAAAGAAAGAGGAAAGTTTTGGCTCAGAGAGGGAGAAAGATGGGGGCAATAAAAAGCTAGTGACAAGAGTAATAACAAGGACAAAAAAGCTTTGCTTCCTCCTCCAATCAGGATTTTGAAATAGATCACTTCTTGGGCAGCACTCCATCCTGAGATAACTAAGAGTAGGGTCACATCTACTTGCTGGAGCAAGTAGAGGGAGGCCATGATATTTAGTTTTCTGAACCAATTTTGGTTTTTATATGTTTAGATGAGGCCCAGAAATAGGTGAGAGGTGGCTGTGGAGCTAGCTAGCAACAGCTGAGTGAGTAGCATCATAGCAAATGTCGCAGAGAGACAACCCAAGATAGGATCAGAAGAGAATCTTTGCTAGATCCCTGAAAGGTAACATCAGTAGGATCTGAGGTGAGGACAAGACTAGCCAGGAGCAACAGCAGGTGCAACACCTGAGGGAAAAGAAAGAGCCACAAGCTGCAGATCTTATCGTTGGCTCTCAACAGAGTGCCTGGACACCGGATGGAAAAGGATCAACATCACCCTGTAGATTAGAAGGAAAAGATACCATAATCATGAGTTTCAACTCTTGACCGCTGCATCACCTAAGGCCCCCTCCCTAATATACCTGAATGTCATCTTTTTCTTTTTTTCTTTTGAGACAGAGCCTTGGCCTGCCACCCAGGCTGGAGTGCAGTGTCATGATCTTGGCTCACTGCAACCTCCCCTTCGTTGGTTCAAGCGATTCTCACCTCTCAGCCTCCTGAGTAGCTGGGACTACAGGTGCACACACTCACACCCAGCTAATTTTTGTATCCTCTAGTAGAGACAAGGTTTCATCATGTTGGTCAGGCTAGTCTCGAACTCCTGACTTCAAGTGATCCACTCACCTCTGCCTCCCAAAGTGCTGGGATTACAGGCTTGAGCCTCCGTGCTCGGCCTACTTGGATAGCATCTTAAAGTGAGATGAGATGGTAGGAGCAATCCGAGAGCCTGGGCATTTTTCCTCAGAAAGAACAAATATTGCCAGAAAGAGTCTCTTCAATTGTCACCTCTAAGCTTTTGCCTGGATTGAATATTTGAACACACACACACACACAGACACACACACACACCATCTTTCCCAGCACCTATGGCAGGCAACACAGTGGGAGATTAAACGTGTGGGATTCTGGATTCTCCTGGCCTGGGTTTCACTCCAGGCTCCACAATGTGTTAACTCTGTGACTGTGGGCAATTTACTTCATCTTGTTGCTTCGATTTGCCCCTCTGTAAAAATTAGAATAACAATAGTTTGTCTTAGTATTTCTTAAGGATTCAATGAATTAAATGTAAAGTGCTTATTCCCAACAGCAAAGTCATGGAATCAACCTAAGTGTCCCTCAGTAGAGGACTGGATAAAGAAAATGTGGCATATATGTACCACATACTAGAACTCAGCCATAAAAAAAGAAGGATTTAATGTCTTTTACAGCAACAGGAAGGGAACTGGAGGCCATTCTCTTACATGAAATAACTCAGAAAGTCAAATACCACATGTTCTCATAAATAGGAGCTAAATAATGTGTACATATAGACACAGATTGTGGAATAATAAACACTGGAGACACAGAAAGGTGGGAGAGTGAGAGTGAGGGGAGAGCTGAGAAATTATCCATTGGGTACAATGAGTACACCCTATTTGGGTGACGGTTGCACTAAAATGCCGACTTCACCACTAGGCAATATATCCATGTAACAAAAATGCACTTTACCCCCTAAACCTATTTTGAAAAATTTTTAAATTAAAAATGTCAAGTGCTTAGATCAGTGTCTGGCCCATAAGAAGAGTTCATTAACTGTTGGCTCTCCTTATTCCTACCAGCATTATTACCATGAGGCTCATGTGGGAAGATCAGACCAGCTCCAGAAAAATGAAGAAATTACAATTTCTCTATACAACCAAGTAGTATGGTGGATTAAAACTTGCACCCCTGCTCCATAAATAACCAAAATCATAAATGATAAAGGGGACATAAAATAAATCAAAACATAAAGAGGCTTTTACAAACACAGAATGGTATAAATTTTAGAAAGCTTAATAAAATGGGCCATATTCAGAATTATGAGTTACCTATATTAGCCCAAGAAGTATGCCAAGTAGAAAAGAAGTATGTCAAAAGAAAGTGAAAAATTCATCAAAGATTACCTCTAAAAACGACCTGAGATCAAACCATTTAATGAGTACATTCTTTCCAACTTTCCCCAAGGGTCAACCCTCGAATGTGTAATAGCCACAGGACTCGGGAAAAGATGGAATGCTTCTCAGCTCATCAAGAAAGCTAGGCTACCTATAGTACACCAACCTGAATAGAATAAAACTATAGGACACTATTTTTCTCAAAAGCTTTTGTTACTCCAGGAGGTCCTAGTGCCTCTAATATGCTGTGAAATTCCAATGAGGGGGTGGCAGGCAGTGGTGTTCCTCAATTCAGGGTTTATCCAGCCACTTCCAGACCCTTCTTAGAGCCGTGCTAGAGCTTCCTGGAGTTACACCATCAGAAGATTAAGGTGGATCCAAGAGCCAAGAATATAGAGAAGCATACGCAGAAGAAAAGGGATTTGCAAGAGATAAAAAGAGGAAAAGAGACCGTATAGCAGATTGCAATCATAATAGCAATGCTAAGGCAGGAAGCAGTACATTCTGCTTGTGAAAATGTAAATTGATTCAGCCCTTCGAGGAAGCAACTGACAATGTGACTTAGAATCTAAAGAGTACATACTCTTTGACTTACTAATCTCAACTCCTGTCTGTCCATCTTGGGTAATTAATTTGAAATGAAGATAAAGATTTACATACAAGGATGCATTTCATAGAATTACTGATGGCAAACAAAATAAAACAGAAACAAGAAGCAACCTAAATGTCTGAAAATGGAAACTATTAAATAGATTATGGCATGTTCAGATAATAAGTTATGCAACAATCCAAAGCAATGTTTTTGTGGGGGGAGGGGAATGTAATGACAGGTATAGGTCTAGGATTTTTAGAAAAAAGGCAGAACATAAACTGCAATGTATAATCTAAGTTATATTTTTGAAATATATGTATATAGAAAAGACTACTGGAAGAAATATAGACCAAAACCACCTTGAATATGGTCTCTGAGAGGTAAGGACTCTGAATGAATAACATTTTCTTTTATACAGTTCTATTTTCTAACTTTCTGCACAAAGCTGTATTACTTTTACAATCTGAAAAAAAAACAATTACTGCCTATGAATAAAAACACATGTGAATGATAAGAAAAAAAATTTAAGCCTCCAGTCACTAAGGACAAAATCATTCCTAGCACGCAAAACAAACCTGAATCTTAACACCGGTGCCCTTTAAAGCATAGAAAAGAAAAAGCAAACCAACCAAATCCCTCCATAAAGACAGGCTGAGCTGCTTCTCTCCAAAGGTGGCGGGGTCGGGGGCGGGGGTGCTTTCAACACACCATTGTCGAGAGGAAAACTCAGCACCCGTTTTTCAAATGCAGCTGCTGGAGGATCCCCCTTGATTCAAAGACCATTCACATCCAGGCTTAGAGGGTTGAGGGAGTGTGAAGGGTGCCCCCCCCCAACCCCGCGCCCTCTTCAAACACACGCACACTCTTACACTCACTCGCGCCGTCCCAGCCTGCCTACTCCCAACGAGTCCAAGCCGGTGCAGCCGCGCCCCATGCCCGGCTCGCAGCTCCCGAGCCCCAGTCCGCCCGCGCTGGGCGCCGCTGTACCTGTTAGTGGCGCGCGGTACCGCGGTCGCCGGGCTCCGGAGCGTCCTCAGCGCTGCGGGGGTGCCGTGGGTGGCCTCCCTGCTTTCCTCCACCAGAATCCTGCACAGCCGGGGAGAAAACTTAAGTTGCTACACCCCGCCGGGAGCTGTTGGCTGAAAGGCTGGGAGTCGCGCTCCTTGCCTGGCAGGGAGATCTCGCACTCCCCGGCTCCCAGGCCAGGTCCCCAGCCCCAGAGTTGGAAGAGCCTTAGGGCGGGAAGGAAGAGACAGCAAGGACCAGAATGGGGAGCATGAGATCCTGATGCGGAACCCGACGGCAGGTCCCGCTCCACAGCTGCCTCGCCCACAGCGATGCGCGCTAGAGCCCCCGCAGCCCTGACCGGTCCCTCTGCTCCCCAGCCGCCGTCCACCGGTCGGAGGGTCGCCTCCCTGCGACCCCCTCCCCCACTCCACTCTCAGGCCGTCGCCGCCCGTGGGCTGCTCCCCGCCGCGGCCAAAAGTCTCCGCGCCCGAGGGGAAGCGATGGGCGGCTTGGGGGTCCGGGGGCGCCAGGCGGGGCGCGCGGCGCGGGGCGCGGCCGGCGGGTGGGTGGGTTACCTGGCGCGGCCGGGCGCGTCTGCCGGGCACCAGAGCAGGCGCAGCAGCAGCAGCAGCAGCAGGCTGGCGAGCAGGGCGAGCAGTGCGCCCCCCGGCCGCATCCTGAGCCACAGGCGCCGCCGCCACCGCTGCTGCCGGGGCGAAGCACAGCCCGGGCGGCCCCGACTCGCGGCTCCCGCCGCCGCCGCCACCGCCGCCGTGGCCGCAGCCCCGCGCACCCACAGCGTTCACAGGCGGCAGCGAGGGGCGCCCGCAGCCCACCCGGCAGAGTCTCCGCGGCGGGCGGAGAAGAAGCCGCGTTCGGGCTCGCCCCGGGCTCCCGGCCCCGGCCCGCGGAGCGCCGCGATCGGCTGGCAGATGACGATTCGCCGAGCTCGCCGCCTGTCCTCCCGGAGGCGCTCGGAGCTGCTGCGGGCTCCGGTCGCCGCTGCCACTGCTGCTGCCGCCGCCGCCGCGCGGGGTCACCTGAAGGTTGGGGCGCGGAAGCTCAACTCCGTGCTGATTGGGCTCCAAGTTTTCTGCGCCCTCGCCTCGTCCCGAGTGCCCGCGAATCCCCCGGACGCCCACGCAGACCACCCAGCCACACCACAACTCTGCCTGCGGAGAGAGGAGAGGAGAAAAAGGGGCCGCTTCAAAAACTTTCAAAACTGTGCAGTCGCTTGGCTGGATCCTCCCACGCATGAAGAAAGCTGGGGACTGGGGAATTGCTGGGTGGATCATGACACTGAACAGAAGCAGTAACCTGTGCTTACTTCAACCCAGATTCAGAGGGACAGCGAACTGGTATGAGGGGCTAGGAGACCTTTAGGCATGAGCACATTACTACCTGGAGACCCGTTTAGCCCCTGCCTGTATTTGCAAATAGTTTTATTGGAAAACCTCCATGCCCATGGCTTTGTATTATCAGTGACTGCATATGGCTGTATGATCTAGGGCTGCAAGGGCAGAATTGAGTAGTGATGACAGAGGTGGCATAGCCCACAGGGCCTAAAATATTTACCATTTGAAACTTTCCAGGAAAAGTTTGCATACTGCTCTTAAATAAGCAAGAGGCCATTAGCTTGAGGCTGTCTCTGTACGTTGAGTTCCCACCTAACAATGGAAACCTACATTAGGCTGTAATGAACAGGGGGCTACTGGCCAATCATGGGCAACCAACTCATTATACCAGGCCCCACAAGGCAGCCTGCATAGCTATAGCCAATCAGTTTCTCCACTGTGCTTCTGAGTTTGGCCTATCAGGCTTTGCTGCTCACACCATGGGGTGGACCTCACTGGACCTCCTCTGGTTGTGAGTGCTGCCCAATTCATGAACCCTTTGCTCGAATAAACTGTGCTAAATTTAATTTGTCTGATGTTTTTCTTTTAACACTGCTATGGGCTGAATGTTTGTGTCTCTACAAAATTCATATGTTGAAACCCAAATCCCCAATCTAATGTGGTGGTATCTGGAGGTGGGGCCTTTCATACCTGATTAGTTCATGGGGTGGAGGCTTCCTGGTGGAATTAGTTCCCTCATAAGAGCAGGCAGCGGGGAATTTGCCTCCTCTCTCTCTGCTCTGTGCAGTGTAAAGACACAGCACGAGGGCAGCTTTCTGCCAAGCAGGAAGAGGACCCTCACCAGAACCTGACCATGCTGGCACACTGATCTTGGGTTTCTTACCCTCCAGAACTGTGAAAAATAAATTTCTGTTCTTTCGGTCACCCAGCCTATGGTATCCTTCTTATGGCAGCCAGAACTAAACCACGGTCTAGATCATATTGGTTAGTATCTCATTTACGAGTATCTCATCTGTTGCAGGAGAGTGATCCAATGACACTATGAAACAGACTGGCTCTCTATTTTTTTAAAAGTGGGTCTCAACTCTCTATGCCCTAAACTATCCTGACTGCCCAAGCCCCCACTTAGCCACTTCCCTAGGTTTTAATTCCATTGTGGTTATATGCAGGCTTATAAAATTATTCACTCTTACTTTTGTATAGTTTCGAGATTTTTCCAAATGCAACCCTTGGATTCCACCATCTTGGGAGTACCTTGATAAGATCTTTTGAAATGACTTCAATTTTGAAAAGGCTTTCATGAGTTAACTTTCCCAAGCAACAAAAATATGATATTTCAACTGACATCTCCTAGAAGCATATGGTCTTCACCTGAAAGAGGCCCAAGTGAGAGCCATTTGGGAGCAACCAGGCCAGACAGCCAAATAAAGCTGTCACCAAAGATTCCATCACAAGAAAACATATATCAAGGCAAGAGATACCAGTGTCCCTAGTCTCTTTCTGCTAATTCCGGATTTACTCTAAAAACATCTTGTTGAATACAAAACAGAAGTTTGCACATAATAATTGATCAATAAATGTTTAGTCAATGAATAAAAGCACATAAGAACTAGTGTTATTTTTAAAGAGAAAATGGAGCAAAAAAACTAAAAATAAATGTGACTAGGAATGTGATTTCCTTCTATAGCTCATCACTGCTGTTAATATATGTACTAATCAGGAATAAAAACAGGCTTCTACTTTTATATAAAACTAATATTTGTAGGGATTCAGTTGCTTCATCTGAGTATGACATAAAGTAATGCTATACTCAGGTAGTGATAGAATAATACAGAAATCTAGTTCTACATATTTCAAAGTTTAAGCCGTTTGTTAAATAAGTAGAATATGGCACAATCATCTAGAAAATGAAGAGTTGCCTGGATTTGAAAGATATTCCAATTTTTATCTCAGTGCAGAAAATTGTGCAGAAAACTAATGCTGAACATGGTTTGCAGAAAAAGAAAAAGGCATTATTGTATCAGCCAGGAAGCTGCAATTTCACCTAATTTACTAAAGTTTAATATTTCAGCACAGCTGGGCTCAAGGCAACAGCAGAAGAGTCAGCCTTGCACTGGGTTCCCTAAACACCCTTGCTGCAAATGAAGTTACTTTTTATCAAGCCAATGGCTATCAGCAGGGGACTCACAAAAGCCCATTTTAATTGGAAAAACAAGTGTAAATTTGCAATGGGAATTCTGAGCCCAGTGTTAAAATTTGACAGTAGGGAACTTTACCACAAGCTTTCTAATTTAAGACCTGGGTGGGTAAGATATGAATTATCTTGCTCATCCTTGAGAGAGAAAGAAACCTGACAAGAAAATGATACCTTAACATTATTAGCCATAGAACCACTACTGGAAAAGTGTGCATTTGGTAGCTTAACATTTCCAGGCTTGACTTGCAACCCTAAAGATCTATGCCATGTAGTAATTTGAAATGCTGCTGAGGCCAGGAATTGAAACGTAAACTCAGGTTGACATCCGGATGCTGCTCCCAAGCTTGTGTAAGTGGCGAGCCTACCTCACTCACCCAGTCCACTCCACATGGGCCTCTCATTTTGTCTTTGTTATTCTTTATTCATCATCATGAATGTCCTTACCTTCATAAAATAACTTTTAAAAAATGATTGGGAAGTTTCGATATATAAAAAGTCTCCAGGCCTATGGAAATCTTGAAAGTTGAAGTTTCTGATTTGGAGTGTAAGGTTTCTTATTTGGCTAACAAGTGACTTTCCACAAAAAAGATGATTCAGGGGAAAGCTAGAAACGTGTAAGATTTCCATAAGTGTGGATTTGGGGATTCAGAAAGATGAATCACAAATATCAAGAGTCTACCTGACATTTGATATATACATAATATATATGTATATACACTATATACATAATACATAATGTACAGAATATATAGCATTATATACATATTGTGTATACACATTATGTATACACATACGTATTATGTATACATATTATGTATATATTATATACATAGTATATACTACATATATACATAATATATACTACATATATAATATATAATGTATATATACACACTAGATACATTATACTATATATGTATGTATATATACATTATACATTATGTATATATATACTATGCATATACATTCCATATAATTATGCATATGCAAATTGTTATATAATATTATGTATATATATTATGTATATTATATTATATTGTGTATATACATGATTATATATTATGTATATAATATAAATGTATAGAAACTATATATACATATATTTGTTTACATAGTATGTATATATACTGATAGCTATAATGTATCTCCATAATTTTTTTCCTTATATTGAAGATTCTTACTGATATATAACAGTGAATGAGTGTACATAGATATGCTATATCTCTACATAGATTATGTGTATATATACACACACTATATAAATAAATATGTGTATATAGAATGCATATACATGTATACTATGTATATACACACTAAATACATAGCAGATACAAATATATCTCACTGGTATATATGAACATCTTCAATATAAGGAAAAAAAGGAATGCTGTGAGAAACGCACAAAAAATTGATGCACCAAAGACTCTTTTCTTCATTCGGGAGACATTTTTACCTCTCTGTTTAGAAAGGATGATTTCTGATGTTTCAGACTGCTTGACTGGTTTTTGTAACGTTAAAGATTTGTGAGGACTACAGGACAATAGGTCATTTATAACATTAAGCTATACCTTGGGGAGGACGTTTATAAGACTATGATAACCAAGACTACATATTTTCTTTTTTTTTTTTTCTTTTTTTTTTTTTTTTGAGACGGAGTCTCGCTCTGTCGCCCAGGCTGGAGTGCAGTGGCGGGATCTCGGCTCACTGCAAGCTCCGCCTCCCGGGTTCACGCCATTCTCCTGCCTCAGCCTCCCAAGTAGCTGGGACTACAGGCGCCCGCCACTACGCCCGGCTAATTTTTTGTATTTTTAGTAGAGACGGGGTTTCACCGTTTTAGCCGGGATGGTCTCGATCTCCTGACCTCGTGATCTGCCCACCTCAGCCTCCCAAAGTGCTGGGATTACAGGCGTAAGCCACCGCGCCCTGCCAGACTACATATTTTCAATAAGTCATAGGACATAAGTAAAAGTAGAAATGACTTGAAAAAATCAATGACCTCAGTATCTCTCCAAATATGTCTTATTACAGATTTTTGACCGCTGTTAGTGGAATATTGAAGATTGGGGGCCAGGCGCAGTGGCTCACACCTGTAATCCCAGCACTTTGGGAGGCTGAGGTGGGCAGATCGCTTGAGCCTAGGAGTTCGAGATCAACCTGGGCAATATAGCAAAACCCCTCCTCTATAAAAAATACCAAAAGAAAAAAAAACTAGCAGGGCATGGTGGTGCACACCTATGGTCCCTGCGACTCTAGAGGCAAAGGTGGGAGGATCACTTGAGCCCAGAAGGTGGAGGTTGCAGTGAGCTGAGATGGCACCACTGTACTCCATCCTGGGTGATGGAGTGAGGCTCTGTCTCAAAAAATAATAATAATAATAATAAAGTAATTCTATGCATAAAGTAGTTTTAATTTAAAGAGTATAACTAAAACTACGGGACTAAATATGAGAATTATTATTCACTTTATAAAATAGATTTTTAACATATAAACATTCACATTTCCTAAATCCCTCTCTTTGGAATGCACTTAAAACACTATAAAGGACTAAAAGGGGAAATGCACACTATTTATTAATATCTCAAGACTATAAAATGGCAACAATCCCATTTCACAAACTCCCTGCTTAAAGCGAACTAATTGGACAAGAATGCCAATTTCAAGACATGTCTCCTCTATTTATGATCTTATATTTGTGGGAAACAAGTAGAAAAGTTGATTGGGTGTGGTGGCTCATGCCTGTAATCCCAGCACTTTGGGAGGCCGAGGCGGGAAGATTGCTTGAGTCCAGGAGTTCAAGACAAGCCTGAGCAACACAGCAAGACGCCGTCTCTGCAAAAAATCTTTTTTTTTTTTATTAGTCAGGCACAGTGGCTTGTGCCTGCAGTCCCAGCTACTTGGCAAGGGGAAGTGGGAAGATCACCTGAGCCGGGGAAGCGGTGGTTGCAGTGAGCCAAGACCATGCCACTGCACTCCAGCCTGGGAGACAGAGAAAGACTCTGTCTCTTGAAAAAAAAAAAAAAAAAAGTAGAAAAGTTTTTAAGGCCCTACTAATTCTCAATTTGAAAGGGCAAAGGCTACGAGTAAACCACAGTAAAAACAAGTAGTAATCAGTGTGAATAGCCAGGGCTGCCAGATTAAAAAAGAGCTGGAAGCTAACATTTCTGTTTTCAGCAAATGTAGCGTTCTTGCCAGAGGAATGCTAGTTACCTAGAAATGCTGCTAAACTGAGGGAGAGATGCTGCAAAAGAATGTTGTGGCTACTGACTAAAGTCAATTTACCAAGGAAAAATGAGTACCTGTTCTACCTATCTGATAACAAAAAGTTTTTGATTTACCGGTTTTCACACCAAACTGGCCTCTCCCAGGGTCAGAATATCCTGCCTAATTTTAGACCCTGTCAGACCAGGCAAAACTTCAGTTGTTTCAACAGATTGAGGGGTGGAGAGTGAGCATGCAGAGATAATATGTCAAACTCTGTCAAATTTCTTCCTCCAACTTCTCTTCCCCACCTCTTCATTCCATATAACCTAAACTATAAACAGTAAACTGAAAAAAAAATCGACAGCCAGCCCATAATGCAAAACTAAATTTCAACAAGTGCACAAAGAAAAAAGAAGGACTGCCAGAGAATTTCCATTCACAATATTCCTAGCAAGTAGCAGAAAGGAACAGACATGACATTTCAAAGATGACCAGACAGGAAAGGAAATTATGCAAATGTTCTGGAAAATATAAGATAAAAGGAAAGAAATGTAACCAGTAAAAAGGGAAGTGAAGAAAATGTGTTGGAAGAGACTTACTCCAGGAAACAGCAGACAAATTTAAGCAAGATCACTTCATACTCCCCAGGAAACTAAATATAATGTAAACACTATGGTAGGAAAGTCCAAAGAAAGAAAAACTGAAAAAGAGGTAGTAAGGCAGTAGAATATGTTGAGAAGTGAACTGACAACATTAAAGCAAAACAAAACAGAAAAATGTTGCAGAACTTAGAATATCTGGCAGAACTTATATGGCAAAAATCTGAATCAATGTCGGATTGAACTGGTGACAATTGCAAAAAAGAAAAAGCACACAGGAAAAGGACATGGAAACTACACTGATCAAAAATATATATATGTATCAGAAACAGATTTTTTTTTTTGGAGATGGAGTTTCACTCTTTTGCCCAAGCTGGAGTGCAGTGGCATGATCTCAGCTCACTGCAACCTCTGCCTCCCAGGTTCAAGCGATTCTCTTGCCTCAGCAGCCTGAGTAGCTGGAAGTATAGGTGTGGGCCATCATGCTCGGCTAATTTTTTTGTGTTTTTAGTAGAGGCGGGGTTTCGCCATGTTGGCCAGGCTGGTCTTGAACTTCTGACCTTAGGTGATCCACCCGCCTCAGCCTCCCAAAGTGTTGGGATTACAGGCATGAGTCACCGTGCCTGGCCCAAAGACAGATATTAAATATACATCTATTTTTTCTTTTTAAGATGGAGTCTCACTCTCTCGCCCAGGCTGCAGTGCAGTGGTGCAATCTTGGCTCACTGCAATCTCTGCCTCCCGGTTCAAGCGATTCTCCTGCCTCAGCCTCCTGAGTAGCTGGGATTACAGACAAGTGCCACCACGCCAGGCTAATTTTTGTATTTTTAGTAGAGACGGGGTTTCACCATGTTGGCCGGGCTGATCTCGAATGCCTGACCTCGTGATCCGCCTGCCTCAGCCTCCCAAAGTGCTGGGATTACAGGCATCAGCCACCACGCCTGGCCACATCTATTTGTTTATTCAGCAATTCAAATGAAAGAACAAAGTTTATATACCATAAATCCCCAAAATTACAACACAAGAACCATTACTATTTATTCTTATGGTGCAAGGATGTTTCAACATGAGAAAATCTAATTTTATTTACCATATTATTGGGGTATTGGAGGAAAACCATTATCATCTTAGAAAGGATATATTTAGCAACTTTTCCTAAATTAAAAAAAAAAAATCTGAGGCCAAGTGCAGTGGCTCGTGCCCATAATCCCTGCTACTTGGGAGGCTGAGGCAGGATGATCACTTGAGCCCAGGACTTCAAGGCCAGCCTGGCAACATAGCGAGATCTCATCTCAAAAAAAAGAAAAGAAACTTTAGTAAAACAAGATGAGTTTGACAGCAGCTTCAAACAGAATGATAACACAAATTAATATCTTAAATCAAAAAGGAGCCAGATGCTTAATTGCTTAATAAAAACAATTTCTTTCAAACCAAGAATGAGACAGGATCTTAACATTGTTTGAGTGAAGTGTGTCCATGGTCCCGTGCAGGTTTTTGACATGCCATTTGACTACTAAACATACTAAAAATAAGTTTCTTAATATCATTGAAGCATTAAACCTAAATAAAACCATGTAAAATACTCAACACTTTCATCCGTAGCTTAAGAATCAGTATAACTGAAAAGTATCAGTTGTTCCATTTCTATATTTAACACTAAAAATTAGTATTGATTTTGTACCTATCTCTGACAATAGAGAACAGAAAATTAGCAAATAGCTGATTCTACAGTCATTGGCAACTAACCAGAATAATAATCCTCACTACTGATTTACAGGACCAATTTTGTCCCTACTTATATGCATGTAGGTTTTGGACTTGGTAGAAAATTTCCAGGTCTATTGACACAAGCAATTCAACTTTTTCTTTTCATTTAAAGGCCTCTTTTTCCCAGGCATCTTTCTAGAACATGATCTGATATTTCAAGATTGAGTATAAATATTTAGGGATATTTGGGAATCAGGCATAAACTTCAGATCATTTTCTGGTTACATCCCTTCTATCGGTTCTCTACACTTGGGAAGGAAATGTATGATGTGGTTGTAAAACACAGGGTCAACGTGATTTTGTCACCGTGCCTTTGCTCTTGCCATTCTGTTCTCTGCCAGAAAAGCTCTTGCTCCAGATATGTTCTGGACTTAACCCCCCTTTCTTTAGTCCTATCAAATATTGCCTTAATAAAATAAGAACTACCTTTCAACCCTAGACACTCAACATCTCCTACCTCCCTACATTGCTTTATGTTTTCTCTACCACTTGTTACCACCAAATACATTATGTATTTATTTGTACATTGCTAGAGACTTCTCCCAATTACAATGGAAGCTCCATGAAGGCACAGACTTGGGCTATTTTGCCCTTTTCCTGCGTTTCCAGTGCCTAGAACACATGGAAGGGACAAAATAAGCATTTGTTAAATACAGAAATGAATGTAAATGCCAAAGTGTTTATAATATGCAACTGACATTTTTCTGTAGCTAACCTAACCACTGCCTTTCCTCTGAAAACTTCAATGGCCTTTAGAAATGCTGGGTACGATCACAGTAATGATAGAAAAGTAAATATAAGGAGAAGCTTTCGTCAGTAAACAGTGCAGAATAAAGCAGAATGAAAGGGCAGATAAATGTGTCAGCCACAGACTGAAAAATTTCGAGCAAGTTGTTTTCCCATGAAAATACTTTTTCCCGCTAAAAATTTCACTTGGTCATATTTCTTTGGAAAAGATGACGTGTCAATGTAGTACTGAGATTTTAATAGATTACTCCGCGATCTTCCCATGCTGATACTCAGAGCACCCTGTTGTAAGATACAGAGCATGAGGTTTTTATTTAAACAGGTTTGGTGTGGATTTTGGCTGTGCCACTAACTGGGTATGTGACCCTGAGTGGGATGTTTAATTTCTCCAAGTTTCTTCATCTGCAAAATGAGGGTGAAGTGAACCTACTAGGGACTCTGTTCCTCCTCCTGGGTTCTCTAAATCAGAGGTCCCCAAGCCCCATTATTAGTCCGTGTCCTGTTAGGACCAGGCCACACAGCAGGAGGTGAGTGGCAGGTGAGTGAGCGAAGCTTCATCTGTATTTACAGCCGCTCGCCATCACTCACGTCACCGCCTGAGCTCCGCCTCCTCTCAGATCAGCAGCAGCATTAGATTCTCATAGGAGCACGAACCCTGTTGTGAGCTGCGCATGTGAGGGATCTGGGTTGCTTGCTCCTTACGAGAATCTAATGCCTGATGATCTGTCACTGTCTCCCATCGCCTTCCAGTGGGACCATCAAGTTGCAGGAAAACAAGCTCAGGGCTCCCACCAATTCTACATTACAGTGAGTTGTAGAATTATCTCATTCTATATTACAATGTAATAATAGTAGAAATAAAGTGCGCAACAAATACAATGCACTTGAACCATCCCGAAACCACCCCCACTCCATCTGTGGAAAAAAATGTCTTCCACAAAACCAGTCCCTGGTACCAAAATGATTGGGGACCACTTCTCTAAATGAAGGGCACCCTCAGCCAGCAAGATGCCGGAGCCAGACGTGAGTGTCACCCCTCACTCCCTGTTCTTCTTCAGTGCCTCCAGCCACCACATCCAACCCATCAACACACTTTCAATGTCATCAATATCTCTCGAACCCATTCCTTTCTCTCCATCCACACTGCCATTTGCCTTTTCCATGGTCCAGGCCACCACTATCTCTCCTGTCTGGATTATTGCAACAGCCTCTTATCTGATTTTATTGTGGCCGGTTTGCCCACCACCACACCACCACCACTTCCCCTCCATTCCCCAAACAGCAGAAAGAATGATGGCCCTAAAAGACAAACGTGCAGTGATCTATTGCACAACAGTGTCTGTAGCCGATGCCTGGTGGGATTGTTTCTGTTGCCTGGCCTCCTTGGGTTTATGCCTATTTACCAATTCCTGTTCTCTAGTCCTCCTGATGTTTCCAGAACTAGCCAATAAATGTCCTCCCATTAAATTCCACCGCTGCCCAGGTCAATTACTTGTAACCAGGAGCACTGACTGGCACATCATGAAATGTCCAGTCCCTCCATCCCCTTCTAACCAACCTATGCTTCCAGTGGCCTCCTGTTCATGCCTACATCCTTAGCATTGCTCTGGGATTCAAGCATCTCTCACCTCTCCAGTTTCCTCATCTCATTTTGTACTCCCGCCACATTCGCCCTCCCGCAGATGAGCTAGTGTGACATACTCTCTCTTGCTTCTGGACTTTTGCACGTGCCGTGTTTTCTCCAAGACCCTCCCCTGTATGCTGTACTCAACACCCCCCAACACCCACCCATCCATCCTTCGCTTGGCTAATGTCTACTTGTCCTTTGGATCTCAGCTTCAAATTCCCTCAGAAAGCCTTTCTTGAACACATTGCATGTGAACTTACATCTTTCTAATGCAAGAGAGCTCTCTTCATCTAGCTGCTGTAGGCAGCTTCACACCTATTGCCCTATAGGGTCCCGAAGAGATGGCTTTCACCCCAGCTTCAGTTAGAAAAATCCTTCCACAGGACCCAGCTGGAGTCATAAGCTCATCTTTCTAGTAAGAGGGATAAGGCTGTGGCTGTCTAGCTGCAGTCACATGCCGTCACCTGCAGAGTTCTTTGATCACCCCTTTCCCCTTTGTGGGGTACTTTCCCCAGAGAGCTCAATACTTAGCTATTTTATTTAGAAAAAGAATTTCTGATCTTGAGTGAGAGGTGTCAAGAAGAGAGAATTGGAAGGGGATGCATTAGGCATTTCTGGAGAAAACCATAAGGATAGAGACCTATAATAAGGACACAGCTAAAGTAGGGCATTGTGAGTTGTATGAGGGCACCGAAAGCTTAGGGCTGGGAGAGAGTTCTAGGAGGTGGGAGAAGAATTCACAAAGGAAGGGGAAAAGATGGACTTCCGGTGCTTTGTAAATCCACCCAGGCTTGGTGGCAGTCACTGCTATTTATAGATGAAAAGGCATCCCTGTGCTTTCAAGTGTCAACAAGAGAAAAGAAAATAAACCTGAGACGTGGGTCAGAGAGACCTGAATTGTCAGTTCTGCTCAGTTTGCTAAGACAACTTCTCTGAGCCTCAATTTCCTCATTTATAAAATAAGGACAAAAATATCATTCTTGATACTAAGTGCCCAAAGCAAGGTGCACAACTATGTATAGTGTGGTCCCATTTGCCTTGTTTAGGAAAAGTAGCATATTACTCAAGTATCACTCTATATACACGAAGCGAAGCGGTAGCCGTGGTTATTTCAGGAGAGGAAGCATTGGAGTGGTATGAGACTTCACATTCCACTGTATAGTCCTCTGGCCTTTTTAGAATTAAGTGCTAGGTATGTGTTTTAACTATTCTAATGAATTCATTAATTGCATAAGAATATCTCTCTCCCAGAGTTGTTGCAAAGAAAACGCCTGTAATCCCAGCACTTTGGGAGGATGAGGTGGGTGGATTGCTTGAGGTCAGGAGTTCAAGACTAGCCTGACCAACATGGTGAAACCCCGTCTCTACTAAAAGTACAAAAGTTAGCCAGGCGTGGTGGTGCAGGCCTGTAATTGTAGCTACTCAGGAGGCTGAGGCAGGAGAATCCCTTGAACCCAGGAGGCGGAGTTTGCAGTGAGCTGCCATCTCACCACTGCACTCCAATCCAGCCTGGGCGACAGAGGGAGATTCCGTCTCTAAATAAATAAAAAAATAAAATATATTGTGGGTCTAAAGATATAACACATTCTGTGCAAAGGTGTTCTGAACAAACAGTGACCCAGGGACCTATCTCATATTTTTGTTGTTCTTCTAAATATATATTTTATTTACTATAAAATGTTTACTTTTTTTCCGAAAAAGATACTATAAATTATTCAAAGCCCAGTACATTTCACCATTGCTTTCCACAGGTAAAATAGGTTTCTTGGATCACTATCAAAGTTTTTAAAAAGCAAGCCTGAGAGCCCAGAAAAGCACAATTCAGTAAAATCAAACACTCATCCAAGAGACTTATTTGTTCCAAAAGCTAAATATGGAAAATTGGATGTCCAAATGGAATACCAAAGGTTGTCATTTGGGGATTAAGAAATAGTACTGTTGTGATTAGGAAATTGCACAGAAATTAGATCTCTCTTCTTCTGTACCCTACAAGAGTAGGAGGTGAGAAATTAAGATCTGGAGGCATTTTTGATCTAGAGTCACATGAATAGCACAGGAACTGTTATTTAAAGCCAAAATATTCTGATAATTAAGAAAATCCTTGATGAATAAAATGCCTCATTTCAGATCTCTTCCTTTTAGACGTTGTCACTTCCGTTCCTTCATATTTGGCCATGGAAATGATAATCCCTCAGAAGAATTTTCGATGAGAAGACCTCTGTTTAGCATTTCACATATTCCTACTCACCATGCTTCCAGAGAGCATTTTCTTTTTTTTTTTTTTAATTTTATTTTTATCTGGAGAGACAGCTACAGCTATTTTTTTTTTTTTTTTTTTTTTTTTTTTTTTGAGACGGACTCTTGCTCTGTCACCCAGGCTGGAGCGCAGTGGCACGATCTCGGCTCACTGCAACCTCCGCCTCCCAGGTTCAAGTGATTCTCCTGCCTCAGCCTCCCGAATAGCTGGCACTACAGTCGCCCGCCACCACGCCCAGCTAATTTTTTAGTAGAGATGGGGTTTCACCATGTTAGCCGGGATGGTCTTGATCTCCTGACCTCGTGATCCACCCGCTTCGGCCTCCCAAAGAGCTGGGATTACAAGCGTGAGCCACCGTGCCTGGCCTTTGGAGAGCATTTTCTTACACTCTTACATTCGCTGAATTACTTAGGATGGCTCCATCCCAAGGATGCTGATCACCTCGCTGTTCCAAATTGCTTAGGTTATAATTCAGAATTCTTATTCTCCCAGACTCTACACGAGCTCTAAGTGGTAATTTCATTTTTAAGTTGTGAGATAACCGTATGTTTACCCAGCATAATTAATTTTCCCTTGGAAAATGTTCCTTTAATTATGTTTTGCATATTTGAATGATTCCGATTTTGCACCTGTGTTCAGAGGCACCTGATTCTAATGAATTGATTACCTAGGCTAGAGAATGAATATAATTATATTTTGCCTACTTTGATGATGAACTTTTCATGTGTGACCTAGCTGGCATTTTTGTACCCTATCTTATCACCTCATTAACTCCATTAAGACGTTTCAGTGATATTTAACATCTTATAGAAATTTAGTCAAATTTATATTATAACTAATATTACAGAGCCAAGACAACTTGGCGTTCTCTTCTCGCTTTCTCTGAGAAACTTACTAACTTGGAACTTCTCTCGGCCAATTATTTTCACTGTTTTATCCCCTCACAGGCATTTTTATTTGTTTTGCTTTGACAATTTTTCTTTGACGACCACTTTGTCTGTTCAATCAAGTCTCCAACATACACACAAAATAAAAATTTGGAGGAGTTTTTCAAATCATTTGAGCCAATATCATATTTTGTGTTTAGATTATTGGGCTAAGGAGAGCACGGCTCCAATTTTCTTTCCTGCCTTATCCAGACAACAGTCTAATTACCCTTTCTATTCCAGCTGTGAAAGCCAACCCGTGGGAAGAGAAATGATTCTTTTTCCAGGTCCCAAAGCAAGTTATTAGCAGCTGTGAACCCAGGAATCTCTACTGTCTCCACAGGTGCCCAACAAATATGACCTCATGTTGCCACTGAATTGGAAGAAGATATTTTTCCTTTCTTCTGAGAACTATGGCATGTTATTGCTGCTACTGATTTCATTCCACCTTAGAATTACTGATGTTGTCCTAGTTATTTTAAATCTGTTCTGGAAAATAGTTTAAATAAGTGCAATAATATCAGTCGTATTACTGGGACTCATGTTTTCAGAGAAAATGCCTTTAAAATGAAACAACTTTTACTTAGGAGTTTTGTTAAGTAAGTATAAATTATAGGCATGTGTCAATGATATAATAGGATAGAGATACAGGAATAGACCAGTGTCACCACACACACACACAAAATGTTTAGAGATTTAATTAGAAGAAAGGACAGCTAGATAATAAAAATTTAATACAAAAGATTGCCAAATCTAAAATTACAGACTAAAGATGAGTTGCCATTTTAAGAATGTGCCTTTTTATAGAGCTGGTCATCAGGTTTAAGCAGAGCTGAACAGATGAATATTATCCAGCCTAGGAGAGGAAGATTCCTTCTCTCTGAAACAAACAGCACTTTAATCGACACCCGAGGGAAGGAAAATTCCTCATGCCTTTTTCTCATCCATTCGTTTTTACATAAAACACATATTCAGAATTTATAATGTTTCAATACTGATATTGAAATAATATGACTTATTTTGAGCCCCACATAAAAGTAACAGTTCTCCCATACTTTTTTTAAAGGAATGACCAATTAAGCTTTTTAAATTGATTTTTACTTGTCTCTATATTTAAGAAATTTAAATTTACCTTTTTTTTCTTATTTTCTTTTTAATTGTTCTTTTCATTTAAGGAAATACATTCAAACTCACAGTTTTCCTGTTTGGTAGTCAACACTCTTAGTGGACAGGAATGTTGACTGTCTTTTTCACACTGTATCCCCAGCACTTTGAACCACACTGTTACTTAAGTAGGTGATAGAAAACATTTGCAGAATGAATGGATCCATAACATATTAAAGACACAGATTAGGAGTTCATTGGCAAAATATGCATTATGATGATGTCTCATAAATGTAAATAAATTTCATAGTATTGTTGGGACTCAGAAAATAATACCTCAAAATGAAGGTCTCAGAAGCAAAAATTTTTTTTCTTTTTCCTGCCCTCCGTCTCTCATCCCATTCTCTCCCAAGGCTAGCCATGGAAACTAGAATCTTTCTTCCCCAAGGCAGGTCATAGAACCAGAAATGTTTTTCCCCCAAACCAGCTAAAAAACCTAAAAATATCATTCTAACTCCCCCATCCCAAAGTTTCCATGTAAAAACCAGCCATAAGGGCTGGATGTGGTGGCTCTTGAACAATCCCAGCATTTTGGGGTGCCAAGGTGGGAGGAGCACTTGAGTCCAGGAGTTTGAGACCTGCCTGGGACCCAGACTCTACAAAAAATTAAAAAATTAGATGGGTATGGTGGTACAAGTTTGTAATCCCAGCTACTCAGGAGGCTAAGGCCAGAGAATTGCTTGGGTCCAGGAATTTGAGGCTGCAGTGAACTGTAATCGCGCTACTGTACGTAGCCTGGGTGCCAGAGGAAAACCCTGTCTCAAACGAAACAAAACAAATAACCCACAAGCCATAAGGAAATTATTTGATCTACCTTGTTTGACTGATACGGTTGGCTGTGTCCCCACCCAAATCTCATCTTGAATTGTAACTCCCATAATTCCTTCGTGTTGTAGGAGGGAGCCGGTGGGAGATAATTGAATCATGGGGGTGCTTTCTCCCATACTGTTCTCATGGTTGTGAGTAAGTCTCACGAGATCTGATGCTTTTATAAGGAGAAACCCCTTTTTGCTTGGCTCTCTCTCTTTGCCTGCTGCCATCCATGTAAGATGTGACTTGCTCCTCCTTGCCTTCACCATGATTGTGAGGCCTCCCCAGGCATGCAGAACTGTAAGTCCATTAAACCCATTTTTCTTCCTGGTCTCGGGTATGTCTTTATCAGCAGCAGGAAAACAGACAAATACATTGACTATAGGTCATAAGACCCTCATTCCAGAGAGGGTTGTGCCCCATTCCCAGATGGAAAAATTGCTGCACAGAGAGGCCAAGAAGAATCTAGATAGAAAGTCCTTGCTGGGTTTCCCCACTCAGTCCATTAACATTAGATCAGACCCTTTTGTCCAAGCCTATTTCTACATGGCTGTTCATATTCTGTTGCACCTAAGTAAAAAATTGACAATTACCTTTGTATCTTTGGGTCTTCACCTAAAGGCATTCACATCACATAAAACTAAGATCAAGGCCGGGTGCGGTGGCTCACGCCTGTAATCCCAGCACTTTGGGAAGCTGATGCGGGCAGATCATGAAGTCAGGAGATCGAGACCATCCTGGCTAACATGGTGAAACCCCGTGTCTACTAAAAATACAAAAAATTAGCCGGGCATGGGGGCGGGCACCTGTAGTCCCAGCTACTCGGGAGGCTGAGGCAAGAGAATGGCATGAACTCGGGAGGCGGAGCTTGCAGTGAGCCGAGATCATACCACTACACTCCAGCCTGGGCAACAGAGCAAGACTCTGTCTCACAAAAAAAAAAAAAAAAAAAAATTAAGATCAAATAAATGTGTATGCTTTTTCTCGTTAATCTGCTTCTTTTCAGTGATTTCCAGTGAACCTTCAGAGGGTGAAGAGAAAGTTTTCACTTGGCCCAGACAGTATCTTGAGTTTTTTTTTAATTTCGGAGGCTTCTTGAATTTGAAAATGGCAGATCTATGGAATTCACCAGCATGATAAACACACAGACCATAACATTTTCTGCTTCTGAAACCCTGGCAAGCCAGACTAAATTCCATTTTTATTGGGGAAAGGAGGCAAGTTCTCCAGTGATGTCCTCATCTGCAGTATTCTTTCAGGAACAGAAAAAGCAGAAAGTGTACAATAATAGCTGGGGCCAGGCACAGTAGCTCGTGCCTGTAATCCCAGCACTTTGGGAACCCAAGGTGGAAGGATCATTTGAGGCCAGGAGTTTAAAACCAGCCTGGAATACATAGCGAGACCCCATCTGTACAAAAAAATAAATAAATAAAACATAAAATAATAGCTTATTGATCAAGATCCACAGCTATAAGAAGTGCACCCACCACACCCACTCACAGCATAGGAGCAAGTGGTAGAAGGCAGAAAGAGAATCATTCTTAACACAGAAGCAAGAGATTTTCAGCCTCAGCATCTGAGAGTGGCCTTTCCAGAGGCTCTGGTGAAGCCGCCTTGTCCTAAACTGATGTGGAGTCCTGTAATAATCAGTTAAAGGCTTTGTTAGTGGCGTGGGTATGTTATATGGCTCTGGATTTAGCGGGTGGAAGAAAGTCAAAAACCTTTGAAAAATGTAGGCTAAAATGCTTTTCTCTGTGGTCCAGTTGTGAGTTCTGTCCCTCTGCTGTGATTCTCAGGGAACACTTCGCATGCACGGATTGGCTTCCTTGTTCCTTAACTGGATGACTCCTAAATTTGACCTCCAGCTTTGTCCTCTCTAATGAACAGAAAACACTCCTGTTTCTGGAAGCTTCCTGGATATCTCGCCACTGTGATTTCCCACCAGCACCTCACTTAAGTTCTTATCTGCTCCTCCTGCCCAAACTAAACCTTCCTCTTGGCCTATTTCCTATGATGATGCTATTGAGCCACTGTCAAGCCTCGCAGGTTAGATTTCCTAGATTTATCTTTATCTTTAATTTCTCCCCCTCTTTTCACCTCTTCAATATATTTTCTCTGTCACCACCTTCCCCTCTTCTAGCATCGAAACTGGTCCCTTGACTTCACTTACTTCCTAACCTGATCGATCCTATATGGCACTTCCAAAATATTTTTCTTCAGAGTTGTCACACGTAGGTCTCATGCCATGCTGCTGTTCCAAGAACAAATTTGCAGTTTCTCTCCATTGCAAGGCAGTTGAGATGAAACTGAGTAGGAGATGGGTAGGACTTATTTCCCAGTCTCAAGAGGATGAAGTGAAGAAACTAGGCTGGGATCACACCTGTAACCTCAGCACTTTGGGAGGCTGAAGCAGGAGGATGGCTTGAACCCAGGAGTTCAAGACCAGCCTGGGCAACATAGCAAGACCCTGTCTCTACAAAAATTAGCTGGGCATGTTGATTTGTGCCTGTGGTCTCAACTACTCAGGAAACTGAGGTGGGAGGATTGCTAGAGCCTGGGAGATCAAGGCTGCAGTGAGCTATGATCATGCCACCGTAGTCCAGCCTGGGCAACAGAGTGGGACCCTGTCTCAAAAAAAGAAAAGGCAAAAAAAAAAAAAAAAAAAGAAAGGAAAGAAACCAACCAGCAGGAACCAGCAGAAGATGAGGAAAGTGATCACCAGCTATCTTCATTGCTTATTAGCACAAGACACTCCCCCCAGCGCCATGACAGTTTACAAATGCCATGGCAACAACCCAGGAAATTACTTCTCCTTTCCATGGTAACAACCTGGAAGTTACTGCCTCATTTCCTAAAAGTTCAAAGTAACTCCCCCTCAATTTGCATGTAACTGAAAGTGGGCTCACGTGAGTATGAATACAGTGGCCAACAGCCCAGGCTGTTGCTGATTGTGGTGCCCTGCTTGTGAGTTAGCTCTACTCCATAGGGAGCAGTAGCATCCAATTAAAAGATTGCTGTCTTAACTCTACTGGCTCATCCTTGATTTCTTTCCTGGGTGAAGCCAAGAAACTTCGTGGGCTTAGCGCCACTTTGACGGCTCACCTGTCCTGCATTAACTCCACAGTCAATATCCAAACTACAAACTATACCCTTGTTGTTATCAGCACCGGGACACCAAGGTTCAACATCTGTGTGAGCTCAGATATCAACTTTTTATGTGTCAGTTACTTCACTTGAAAAGTGTTCTGTTAGGGTTGTGTAAAGATTGAGTTAATATATGTATATTAGGCACTTAGAATAGTACCAAGCGCTTAGTAGGTATTATATTGGTGTTTCTTGTTATGACCAGTCTTAGAGCCTAACAAATAGAAACACCATTTCCCAAACATGTCTTCACGTTTATCATTTCTCAACTGATAGAGTTTGGCTCTGTGTCCACACCCAGATTTTATCTTGAATTGTAATCCTCCTGTGTAAAGGGAGGGACCTAGTGGAAGGTGATTGGATTACGAGGACAGTTTCCCTCATGCTGTTCTTGTGATAGTGATTGAATTCTCACGAGATCTGATGGTTTTATAAATGGTAGTTTTTCCTGAGCTCTCTTGTGGGTCCCCACGTAAGACGTGCCTGCTTCCTCTTCTGCCAAGATCGTAAGTTTCCTGAGACCTCCCCAGCCATGTGAAACTGTGAGTCAATTAAACTTCTTTCCTTTATAAATTACCCAGTCTTGGGCAGTTCTTTATAGCAATGTGAAAAAGGACTAATACGTGAACTTTTGCTCAAATTGTTCCCTCTGCCTTCAATGACCTTTTCGTCATATAAAGTCTACCCATTTTTCAAAGTCTACCGCAAATACCAATACTTCCCTTGAAATTTTCACTTAAAAGTCTTGTCTTTTTTTGAATTCAGGATAATACATCTGCCCCAACTACCTTTATTCGTAAGAAATAAAATAATATACACTTCGGTATTTTAAAGTCTCTATGTAAGATGATATTCTATAGAGCTGTTATATTACTAAGTTGGTCTTTTTGTTACAGCCATACTCCAAAAATTTTCATTATGTTATTTTATTTCATTTGTCAGTGAATTTGAAATCATTTTCAAGAGCAAAATTAGAAACAAAATCCCAGCTTTAGGAAGAAATAAATCAGAGCTTTCCAAAACTAATATTTTAGGATTTACGAAGGTTTTTAAGAGAGAAGAGTTTAAATATTTTTAAAGTATAGACTTATAAAGCATTTCTGGGGAATCTGAAGAAACAAATATAGCATTACACCAGTATTATGCTATTTAATTTTATTTCAATCAGGTGATTTTAAAGTTTGAATGGCTATTTTTTTTTCTTTCAACTGTATTTTCTCTGCTATATTTCATGCATTGTAAGACTTTAAAGGTTGGCCCCTTGTGGAGACAAATTACACCTGGGGAAATTAGCCCAGGTGTTGGCAATTAATTGTGGAGCCAGAAACTCCCCAGTGATGTGAGACGGAGCCTTCCCACCGTGTTCTCTGGACTCCTTTTTCTAAGATGCTGGCTCTTCAATTTTAATGAGGGAAAAGTGCCCCCCTGTGGTTTGTACTTGGACTTGGTTTGTTTTTTTTTTTTTTTTCAATGTAAATATTATGTTCTTTCCCAAGGAAAAGCCGGCAAAGCTAGGAAGAAGGCTGTACTCATCTGGATTCTAATTTTCTCCTCTTTGGGATCCTTATCAGTAGCAAATCACCTTTTAAGTCATCCCTTCACCCGTCCACCAGCCTCAAATCCATGCCCTCACACTATCCCACGTCCATTCTCACCTAGGTGCCTTCAGAGCCAGGATCCCTCCAAGAGCTCACCCATCCTAATGTTTTCAGGAGGGAAACAAACAGAAAATGCTTTCAGTAATGGTCTGTGCTGGACTCCTCCCTCCTTTCTCTAGTTATTCTTTTCCCACTCCCACTCCTCCAACCTCCCTGCCACACCAAAATTTCTAATTCCTCTGATGCATATCCTCTCATCTGTGTTTATTCTTTCAAGAAGTTTATTTTAGGTTTGTGTGCATTTATTTTTTTCTTTTTTTGAGATGGAATTTTGCTCTGTTGCCCAGGCTGGAGTGTGGTGGTGCCCAGGTTGGAGTGTGGTGGCACAATCTCAGCTCACTGCAACCTCTGCCTCCCAGGTTTAAGCAATTCTCCTGCCTCAGCCTCCCGACTAGCTGGGATTACAGGCGTGTGCCACCACACCCGGCTAGGTTTTGTGTTGTTAGTAGAGATGGGGTTTCACTATGTTGGCCAGGCTGGTCTCGAACTCTCAACCTCAGGTAATCCTCCCACCTCGGCCTCCCAAAGTGCTGGGATTATAGGCATGAGCCACCGCGCCTGGTCTTGTGTGCATTTCTTACTGTATTACGTAAATGGTCTTGAGCTACAGGTAGCATTCTTTCTTCCAACTGTTACTCAGCACTCTGTCTTTGAGAATGAGCCATGTTGCTGTGTGGACATTCAGTGCATTGCTTCTAAGGGCTGCCCTGTGTTCCACAGCAGACATACAGAACATTACACTAATCCTCTATCCCAGAGATAGGTACCCTGATGGCCTCTAACTCCCACAAACAATGCTATGATGAATATCCGTAAGCCTGTTCCAACGTGGGCCTGTGTGTGAATTCCTTCCAGAAATACCAAGAAAGAGAATTCCTGTATCCTAGAAATATGCATACTCAGTTTAAAGATTTCCTGCCCGGATGTTCAAGACTGCAATACCAATTTATACTTCCATCAGCCTATTCATGAGGGTGCCTGTAATTCCACATCCCTATCCTTTGCCAGGCTATTGTGTGGAAATGATACTTCATTGTATGTTGACTTACAATTCTGAGGAATAATATATTGGAGCAACTCTTCTGTTTGTTAACTTTTATTTGAATTTTCCCTTCTGTAAATCACCTATCTGTATTCTTAGATTTTTTGTTTTGTTTTGTTTTGTTTTGTCAGAGTCCCTACCTTCTTCTGGTTGATGTGCAGAAATCCCCAGTTCCTTGTGTTTTCTAGGTTTCGGTTCCTTGTCAGCTTTAGGCCTTGCCAATGATTTCTCAATATCTGTCACTTCTAACCTTGTCTGTGGCATCTTTCATTGCATGGAAATCCTTAGTTGTTTCTTTATGATACATCTTTTGCAAAAATAGAAGAAGCCTTTTCCTATCCCTCATGTAAGGGGATATTCTCATGCTATATTTTCTATTAAATCTGATATGTATATTTTTCATATCCAAGTCTTTATCTGGAGTCCAACTTTGCAGGTGGTACATAGGAATCAGTTTCAACTTTCTTTATATGGGAGTCAGTGTTTCCAACATCATCTGCTAACATGTATGCTTTCATATTAATCTGTAGAGCCATCTTCATCATATATTAAGTTGCTGAATTGTCTGTTCTGTTCCATTGTTTTACTGTCTGCCTGTCTACCAATATCACACTGTTTCTAGCACTGTGAGGCTTTGTAGTATGTCTTAGTATCTGATAGAACAGGAGCAGCCACATTTCTCATTTTTGTAAAGATCAAATTGACCATTCGTGGACCTTTAGTCTTTCACATGAATTCTGTAGTAAATTTAACCACGAATTTCATTGAAATTTCCTTGACTATATAGATTAATTTGAGAAGAATTGACAACTTTATGGTATTAACATCCATCCAGAGACATTGAAAGCGTATTTAGTTGGATTAATTGTTATGTCCTTTGTTCAGTTGAAAATTTTTTTCTCAAAAAAGGTTTATTCCTTGTTAATTCCTAAATACCTTTAGTTTTTATTGAAATTGTAAATCATGCCTTATTTTTCTTATATTTTCTAGACAGTTAATACAAGCATTAAAAATTACTGATTTTTATGTTGATCATGTATGCAGCAACCTTGATCAACTCCCTTCATTGTTCTAGTAGCTCATCTATTGATTCCATTCCTAGGTAAATTATGTTATCTATCTCTTTCTTGACCAAGCTTTATACACCATTTGTTTTTCTTTTTTTTATGGCATTCACTGGGATTATGTTAAGCAGTAGCGGTGTTAGAGACATACATTCTTGTCTTTTCCTCTACTATAAAGTGAACTTTTTTGTTTTGGGGTATATAGTGGTAGGAAAAATATCTCCTTTTTTCACTTTTTCACTTTGTTACAGAAACTCTGAATTTTAACTAGAGTTATATCCATCCAGAATTAAGACTGCCTTTACCATCCTCTCTTGCAGCTAGATATGACCTCGTAATTAAGTTCTGGTCAATGGGATATGAGTAGAAGTTGATGTGATCATCTTTTGCTTGTAACTTTAAAAAGGGCCACCCTATCAGGAATCCCGTAGATTGCTTCTGGAGGTAGAGAGTATGCATGTAAGAAGAGAGGTTAAATGAAGCTTCCTTTCCCATCACCCATATCAGAAATGGGTATGTCTTCCAGTTCCTTGTTTCTGGTGGCTGAAATGCAGATATAATGGTGGTATCCAGAGTAACAATAGTGGATCATACAGATGAGGCCAGCACCTCAGGATGACACAACAACATAATAGTAGGAGAATAGGCCCCCATACCATGAAATTGCCGCATTAATCCTGAACTGCTGTTGAACAAACAACACACACTTGGAGAAAGTACTTAAATTTTTATGTATACCCTCATGTTTAAATGCCATATGGCTAGATATAAAAATCTTGGCTCAAAGTTCATTTCTCTTTGTTTTAAAATGCTAAGCCATTGTTTTCTTGTAACCAGCATTGCTATTGAAAAGTTTGATTTTTGTTTCTCTGTAGATGGTCTGCTGTTTATCTCCAGAAACTTATAATTCTCTTTGTCTTTGATGTTCTGAAATGTGACTATGGCATCTAGGCGAGGGAGTTTTTGTTGCTGTTTATTTATTTAATGTATTCATCATGCTTCATGCTTGGTGAGCACCTGTTCCAGTCAAGAATTCATCTTTAAACTCCTCAAAAGAATAGGCATTTTGAGTAGATAGTCTCCCTCAGTTACAACCTACTTGCCCTAGAGAGACAGAGGTGAAGAAAGTGCCAGAGTGTGGCTAGTCATTTTTCGTATACTGTTATAAACTCTTCATTCTTGGAAGGCTTTTGTTCTGCTCTGATATTAACCTGAAGACCCAGGCTATAATGGCTGATTCCTGCAGTGAAGAGTGTAGCAACCATTAACCCAAGACCTTGGAAGAAAGAAGAAACAGCAGAACATTAAAGCTTTTTTCAAGCTGTGCTCTCACTGTGCCTGTGAGATCCTTCTCCTCAAGCTGTCTCTGTCGCTCCAGCCTGGCCCCCATTTCACCCACCATCCACACACAGGAGTTCACCCCACTGTTCACATTCCCCAGGATGTTCATGCCATATTTATGTTAGTTTCTCAGCTCCAAGCTTCTGTCTTACTACTAGATTCTCCAGGGTTGATTTGGGAAAAGAAAGCCAGCAACCCATCCTGGCTCACCATCCTAACGAAAAGCCAAAAATCAGATACAGGAATTGTTTACGAGGCTTTGGCTGGGTGGAGTTATGCACACCTGTAATCCCAGCACTTTGAGAGGCCAAGATGGGAGGATCACTTGAGCCTAGGAGTTCAAGATCAACCTGAGCAACATAGTGAGACCCCTGCCCCCCATCTCTAGAAGTAAATAAATATAAAAAGAAGTCTTAACAATTGGCAATATTGTTGCATTAATAGTCAGACTTTTAATCTGGAAGGAAGGGAAGTTACCTTCACTAGAGCCTGGAGAAGAAAGTAAATTCATCCAGATGCAACGTTGCTGGACTACCTGACCACTTTTCCACGCTCTGTAGGTGGCTACAAGGTACTCAGACAATCCCTGAGATCATCTCTGGTGAAAAACATGACCTGGGGAAGGGTAATATTTGGAAATTCCCTAGGAGGCCACCCTATCGGCCGTAGATTGAAGGTTAAGAGTATGCATGTAAGAAGAGAGGTTAAATGAGGCTTCCTCTCCCATCACCCATCTCAGAAGCATATCACACATTGAACACAACCAAATAGGACTGTTCTGGGTATGCTGTGGTTTTTGTTTTTTTTCCCCCAACTTTGCATGGTTGTTCATTATCTAAATAGGGATTGCCTTAGGCACCTAAGGGAAGGTCATCCTCTAGGCTGCTTTTTAGCATGTAAAAAATGCAGGGTGAAATTGTGAAAGGACTATTAATGTCTGCATAACTCATGGCTGCTGAGTCAACTTGACTTTGGCTGAGCCCAAGGACCATTTAGAAATCATAGCCTCCGGACATTGTCATACCCTGATGCCCAAAAGAAACTGTCTGGGGCTTCCATTAAACTGATGGATGTCAGGAATGGGTATAAAAGTTCTAAAATCTTGCATGAGAAATTGGAAGGGTCTGAGTTTGTTCTCCTACCTTTTCCAAAGAAAAAAGGGAGAGATATCTAATCTTTTAAAGTAAGCATTAGAAAACTCCAAATCCAAATGACAGAAGAGCCACTTCTTAAAAAAAAAAAAAAAAAAGCAAATATCAACGGAAGGTGATATTGTTAGTAATCAAACTGGATTGATCCAGATATAACACTATCATACACTACCTTTATTATCTGCTTCTCAAATTTCCTTCTCTCTATCGCATTATCTCCCTCTAGGGACACTTTTGCCTATCAGTATTAATTAAATGTGAATGTTAACATGTAGGAAGATTTATAACTTCCTTGGCCTGACAGCTGTGCTGAAACTGAAATGCATCAAAGAGGATGAATGGCCCCGTCTGCCACCCATGAATGATGATCACTTCTCCAAATTGGCCAGAGAGTTTGAAAAAGTATTTTGGGGAACTTGCCAGCTAAGACTTTTCCATTCCACCTCCTCACCTCTTTCTAACCACTGCCACCATCATAAAAGAAGCACGTCTATATGAAGCACTGTGGAAAATTGGGGCCCAGGTGTGAAAAGTGAAAAAAGTGGAGTGAAGACCTGGTAATCAAATGCCAAATTGCAAAGTTGCAAAGAACAAATATTTTGGCCTAGAATCATCCCTATTTGTATCACAGCCAGTTTAAGCAAATAGAATAATATGTGTTCATATAATCTATCGGTACAGATTTAAAATGGGTCAGAAACAAAATTTTTGTCCTATTTTAGACTGTGGATCCAGATGACAAAAACAATGGATGTCAAAACACCTCGGAAGTTTCAGAACAGAAAATAGAGAAAACAAATTTGACACTGGAGTCATCTCTGATCATGACATTTCATACAGTTCTCAAAACCAACTTATCAAGAATTTAAAAACGTATCTATGTTATGGTTTATAGGAATTGCATGAAGCTTTATTCCACTTTTACTATGCATGCCATCTATTTATATATTCAAAGAGTTTACATTAACATGACTTTACTATGATGTCTTTGTAGCTTTATTAGTATAACTTGATTGGCATAACTTGACTCTTCCAGGGTACTCTTGCCCTCGGAAATGACTTGATTGTTCGTTACTGGAAGTTCCCAAAAGATCTGTCAGCTTTTCACTGGGAAGCATCAACTGTTGGTTTACAATTCTGTCAGACTCTTGAACCCCTTGCCTCAAATTCTTTGCCATGCTACTTCCACTAACTCTAAATTGGTAAACATGATCCTGACCCAATCTTAGTCAAACTCTTGCTTTGAAAGCCCCACCTTAAACCAAACTTCCGATTCTCAATAAAATCTGACCTTGCCTTTCTCCCTGAAACCCTGTAGAAACTCTGCCAAGGGAGCATTCTCCCAGAGCGTGGTAAGCAGTAAACTCAGCTTTGTCTTACCAACAAGCTGTGTTGATGAGAGCTGAGAAACATTCAACAGAAGAGCATGCAATATTGCTATATATTCATTAAAAGCATTTAGAGCATACAGAAAAAAGAATGACATAAATGACAAATTATTTTTCACTTTAGTAAAGATTTACGTGGGAAAGAGGCTGATGGAGAGATTTTCAATTGTAATAAATAGTAAATGTGTGGGTCTTGTGCTGCATATATGCATGCCCTGTATAAAGCAGCAAACCTCCTGCCCAGCACCCCTATTCCTCATATCTTGTTGCCCTTTTTGGTGGGTGGAGGAACGATGGTGGGAGCTTCAACACTTACCACCATCTGACACACAAACATACACATTTGCTTATTTGTTTACTGTCTGTCTCTACATTCAGTCCTAATATAATTGCCCAGTGAGTTCTTCCTGACTGATGTACAGGAAAAACCACTTCACTTAACCTGTGGTATTGCAGTAGAGAAAGAGTTTAATTAACCCAAGGTCTCCAAGTGGAAGGACTGGAGTTATTACTCAAATCAGTCTCCCTGAGAACTAAGGGGCTAGGGATTTTATGGATAATTTGGTGGATAGGGGCCAGGGAATGGGTACTGCTGATTGGTTGTGGGTGAAACTATAGGGGTGTGGAAAACAGTCCTCCTGCACTAAGTCCATCTCTGAGTAGGGGCCACAGACCCATTTGAGTCATGAATCACAAATCCAGGTGGGGTCAGTCAGTTGCCAGAATGCAAAAGTCTGAAAAACATCTCAAAAGACAAATGTTAGGTTCTACAATAGTGATGTTGTCTATGGGTGCACCTGGGGAAGTCACGATTCTTGTGACCTCTGGCCACATGACGCCTGAGCAGTAAAGGATCATAGAAACTACACCCGCATTTTAGCAGATTTCAGGCCCTCTTGTAATCTTAATCTTGTGGCCTTTTATTAGCCTTACAAAGGCAGTTTCAGTCCCTGAACAAGGAGGGGATCAGTTTTAGGGAGGGTCTGTTATCATCCTTCCTTCCAAGTTAAACTATAAACTAAATTCCTCCCATGGTTAGTTTGGCCTCTGCCCAGAATTGAGTGAGGACAGCTGGCCTGTGAGGCTAGAAGCAAGACGGAGTCAGCCACACTAGATTCCTCTCACTGTCATAATCTTTGCAAAGTTGGTTTCACTAACTCAAATATAAACTTCATGAGGGCAGGGACTTGGTTTATTCTGTGCTGTATCCTCAGCACCTAGAACACTGCCACATTTACAGTGAATATTTGTTTAAAGAAGGAAGAAAGGAAGCAAAGAGGGAGCAGAGGGGAGAGGAAGAGAGGAAGGGAAGGCAGAAGGGAGGGAGGGGGCAAGCTAAATTATGGGAGGCGAGGCAGTCTCATGACAAATGCCCAGACTTGGAAGTTAGATCTGATTCAAATTCATTCACCAACTTACTAGCTATATGACTTCAAGCAAAATACTACAATTCTTGATAGCCTGTTTGCAGGTTCTAGCAGGGGAATGCAGCTACTCATGTACCCTTAACCAAAGACCTGTCCTCCTCTATCGGGGTTGGTCTTCCTCTTCAACCTAGCACACAGCTTCAGGAGGGATGCACATGGGGCAGTGAGTGAGGAAGGGGACACCCACCTAGCCAGCCAGATCAGCCACATCAACCCTGGCCATCAAGGGAGTGACAGATGCCACAGCCAGATCCCCCTCACATCCAAAATACTTGAAGCCTCAATTTTCTCATCTATAAAATGGAGGCAATAATATCCATATTGCATAGTTGCAAGAACAGAAAATGTATAAAAATATCTGAAAAGTATCTAGCATAGTTCCTCGCAAGCAGTAAACTGTTAATAAATACAAGATCCATATGTAAAAAAATAAAATTCTTAGTTATTTAGGAAAGAATGATAGCTAAGCTTTGCATTCTAAGAGAGTGGAGGCATCTGCTTACATATTTTTGTAGAAAATGGGATATTCATTGGAAAAAAAAACACCTAGATGAACTTTTTAGGTTTAGAAAATAGGGGTCGTTGGGCAAGTCATAGAGAGAAGAATTTAGTCAAAGGTGCTTGCTTGTTTTGCATAATTAAATGATGGGTATGAAAACTTTGTTTTCTGGTGGGAACTCAGGAGATAGTACAATGTAGACTGAGTGATGGGGAATTCCTTCTTCCTCTACTCACCTTAGGTTCATTAGCTGGATCCCTGCAAATCAGACTGCTGAAAGTCAGATGAACAAGAGAAAGGCCAGGCACGGTGGCTCACGCCTGTAATCCTAACACCGTGGGAGGCCGAGGTGGGTGGATCAAGTCAGTAGTGCAAGACCAGCCTGGACAACATGGTGAAACCCTGTCTCTACTAAAAATACAAAAAGTAGCTGGGGATGGTGGTGCATGCCTGAAATTCCAGCTACTCAGGAGGCTGAGGCACGAGAATTGCTTGAACACAGGAGGCAAAAGTTGCAGTGATCGGAGATCACAACACTGTACTTCAGCCTGGGCAACAGAGTGAGACACTGTCTCAAAATAACAACAACAACAAAAAGTTTATTAACACGTCCATCCTGCATACACACAGGAGAAGTTAGTGATGAGGGACTCATAGGGGTGGTTAGAACCTGGGCTTATATAGCATTATAATAAAAGAACAATCATTTTACAGAGAAATGACAAGACAAAGGAAAAGGGCTTTGGGCTTTTAGGAACAACAGACTGTAAGAAGGTGAATGCATGGAGGAAACTAATGGAACTTAAAATAAAAAATAAAATAAAAATTTAAGGGTGCTCCAGAATACTTGGTGATCCAGACAAATAGTATTTTCATACAATATTTGTATGTTTTTGAAACAGAGTCTCACTCTGTTCCCCAGGCTGGAGTTGAGTGGCACGAACACGGCTCACTGCAGCCTTGTCCTCCTGGGCTGAAGCGATCTTCCTGCCTCAGCCTCCAAAGTAGCTGGGACTATAGGTGTGCATCATCATGACTGGATAATTTTTAAATTTTTTGTAGAAATAAGGGTCTCATTATATTACCCAGGCTGGTCTCGAACTCCTGAGCTCAAGTAATCCTCCTGCATTGGCCTCTCAAAGTGCTAGGATTACAGGCGTGAGCCACGGTGCCCGGCCTTCATACAATATTTTAATAAATCAAAATTAATGCAAAAAGACCCACGATAGACAAATATCCAATTTTTAAATAAAGCCAGGATCATTATGACTGAATTTTTTTTTTCTTTTGGCCTCAGGCTGCAAATCTGGCTCAACACAGCACTGTGACTGATTCTGACTTTATCTGAAATTTTTTTTTTTTAAACAGTGTCTCGCTCTGTCCCCAGGCTGGAGTGCAGTGACATGATCATAGCTCACTGCAGCCTCGACTTCCTGAGCTCAAGGGATGCTCCTGCTGAGCTCAGCCTCCTGCAGAGCTAGGAATACCAGCACATGCCACCATGCCTGCCTTATCTAAAATTTTGATATTTTGTTCATCATGGATATTTTTATATTAATTTTGATATCTTAAAATATCACATTAGTCAGGGTTCTCCAGAGAAACAGAACCAATTTAGATAGAAGAATCAATCTAAATCTTTTTTTAGATTTATTATAAGATACTGGCTCATGTGATTATAGAGGTGAAAATTTCCTCCCTTCTGCAAGCTGGAGACCCAGGAAAGCCAGTGGTGTAGTTGGAAGGCCTAAGAGCCAGAGAGCTAATGGTGTAGATTCCAATCTGACTCTGAAGGCCTGAGAACCAGGAGCATCAAGAAGAGAAGAATATTGATGTCCCAACTCAGTGGTCAGGCAGTAAAAGGGCGGATTCCTCTTCCTCTGCCTGTCTGTTCTCTTCAGGCCCTCAACGCATTGGGTGGTGCCTGCCCTCATTGGGCAGAACCATCTGCTTTACTCAGTTCCTCCATTTAAATACTAATCCCTTAGTATTTAAGAGATTGGGAGGCTGAGGCAGGAGGATCGCCTGAGCCCAGGAATTTGAGGCTGCAGTGAACCGTGTTCATGCCAGTGCACTCCAGGCTGGGCAACAGAGAGATGGCTGTTCCAAAAACATATTCAACACCTTCACAGACACACCCAAAAATAGTGTTCAATCAGGTATCTGGGCATCCTGTGGCCCAGTCAAGTTGACACAGAACATTAACCATTGTAAATATTATTTATCCTAATTACTGCATGTTTTTTTTGTACCCTCTGAACTTTTACACCAGAAGTGAGTGAGGCCCTGGACCAGCCAAATTCTAGCTCTGGGCCGCGGGTATTGTGTTATGTATGTGGATTTCATGGCAGTCCAAGCAATTTAAGAAATATTGATTGAACACCTGCTGAGCATCAGGCATAGGGTTCAGTTCTAGGGAGTGAGTAGTAAGCAAGATAGTCAGTCCCTGCCCTCATGAAGCTCACCGTCCACTGAGTGAAATGTACATGAAACAGTCAAGATGATAAGTGTTATGGAGAAAATACAAAGAACATGGAGAACCTACAGCAACAGGGCTTTTTTTTTTTTTTTGAGATGGAGTCTGGCTCTGTCACCCAGGCTGAAGTGCAATGGCACGATCTTGGCTCACTGCAACCTCTGCCTCCTGGGTTCAAGAGTTTCTCCTGCCTGAGCCTCCCGAGTAGTTGGAACTACAGGTGCGTGCCACCACACCCAGCTAATTTTTTTGTACTTTTAGTAGAGACAGGGTTTCATCATGTTGGCCAGGCTGGTCTCAAACTCCTAACGTAATCCTCCTCCTAAACCTCCTCCTAATAAAAATTATGTGGGAGTGGTGGTGCCTGCCTGTAGTCCCAGCTACTCAGAAGGCTGAGATGAGAGAATCACTTGAGACCAGGAGGTCAAAGCTGGAGTGAGCTGTGATCATGCCTGCACTCTAGCCTGAGTGACAGAGCAAAACCCTGTCCCAAAAGTAAATAACTAAATAGAAAATTAAAATTTGGAGATGGTACAGGAGGAGAGAGAAGGTGCATATTACAGTGGCCCAGGCAAGAGAGACAGTGGCCCAGGGCTAAGTGGTAGCAGGGAGAAGAGAGAAGTAGAGACATCTCTAGATGAAGTAATCAGGATGTGATAGCTCATTTAAAGGAGGGGTGAGGTGGAAGAAGGAGTCTAATGTGATATCTGAGTTTCCAGCTTGGGCAACTGATTGGTTGGCAGAGTCATTTCCAGGAGATTGGGCATATTAATTAAAGTAGTAGCTGTATACACAATAGAAGTTGCTAACTGAAATGATCTTTTTTTTTTTAAGAGACAGAGTCTGTTCATGTCCTTCGCCCACTTTTTGATGGGGTTGTTTGTTTTTTTCTTGTAAATTTGTTTGAGTTCATTGTAGATTCTGGATATTAGCCCTTTGTCAGATGAGTAGGTTGCGAAAATTTTCTCCCATTTTGTATGTTGCCTGTTCACTCTCTTGGTAGTTTCTTTTGCTGTGCAGAAGTTCTTTAGTTTAATTAGATCCCATTTGTCAATTTTGGCTTTTGTTGCCATTGCTTTTGGTGTTTTAGACATGAAGTCTTTGCCCATGCCTATGTCCTGAATGGTAATGCCTAGGTTTTCTTCTAGGGTTTTTATGGTTTTAGGTCTAACGTTTAAGTCTTTAATCCATCTTGAATTAATTTTTGAATAAGGTGTAACGAAGGGATCCAGTTTCAGCTTTCTACATATGGCTAGCCAGTTTTGCCAGCACCATTTATTAAATAGGGAATCCTTTCCCCATTTCTTGTTTTTGTCAGGTTTGTCAAAGATCAGATAGTTGTAGATAAGTGGCATTATTTCTGAGGGCTCTGTTCTGTTCCATTGATCTATATCTCGGTTTTGGTACCAGTACCATGGTGTTTTGGTTACTGTAGCCTTGTAGTATAGTTTGAAGTCAGGTAGCGTGATGCCTCCAGCTTTGTTCTTTTGGCTTAGGATTGACTTGGCGATGCGGGCTCTTTTTTGGTTCCATATGAACTTTAAAGTAGTTTTTTCCAATTCTGTGAAGAAAGTCATTGGTAGCTTGATGGGGATGGCATTGAATCTATAAATTACCTTGGGCAGTATGGCCATTTTCACGATATTGATTCTTCCTACCCATGAGCATGGAATGTTCTTCCATTTCTTTGTATCCTCTTTTATTTCATTGAGCAGTGGTTTGTAGTTCTCCTTGAAGAGGTCCTTCACATCCCTTGTAAGTTGGATTCCTAGGTATTTTATTCTCTTTGAAGACATTTATGCAGCCAAAAAACACATGAAAAAATGCTCACCATCACTGGTCATCAGAGAAATGCAAATCAAAACCACAATGAGATACCATCTCACATCAGTTAGAATGGCAATCATTAAAAAGTCAAGAAACAACAGGTGCTGGAGAAGATGTGGAGAAATAACAACACTTTTACACTGTTGGTGGGACTGTAAACTAGTTCAACCATTGTGGAAGTCAGTGTGGCGATTCCTCAGGGATCTAGAACTAGAAATACCATTTGACCCAGCCATCCCATTACTGGGTATATACCCAAAGGACTATAAATCATGCTGCTATAAAGACACATGCACACGTATGTTTATTGTGGCACTATTCACAATAGCAAAGACTTGGAACCAACCCAAATGTCCAACAGTGATAGACTGGATTAAGAAAATGTGGCACATATAAACCATGGAATACTATGCAGCCATAAAAAATGATAAGTTCATGTCCTTTGTAGGGACATGGATGAAATTGGAAACCATCATTCTCAGTAAACTATTGCAAGAACAAAAAACCAAACACCACATGTTCTCACTCATAGGCGGGAATTGAACAATGAGAACACATGGACACAGGAAGGGGAACATCACACTCTGGGGAGTGTTGTGGGGTGGTGGTGGGGGAGGGATAGCATTAGGAGATATACCTAATGCTAAATGACGAGTTAATGGGTGCAGCACACCAACATGGCACATATATACATATGTAACTAACCTGCACATTGTGCACATGTACCCTAAAACTTAAAGTATAATAATAATAAAAATAAAATAGAAAAGAGACAGAGTCTCGTTCTGTCGCCCAGGCTGGAGTGCAGTGGCATGATCTCAGCTCATTGCAACCTCCCCCTCCCAGGTTCAAGCAATTCTCCTGCCTCAGCCTCCTGAGTAGCTGGGACTACAGTCACATGACATCAGGCCCGGCTAATTTTTTTTTGTATTTTAGTAGAGATGGGGTTCAAACATGTTGCCCAGGCTGGTCTCAAACTCCTGAGCTCAGGCAATCCCCCCTGCCTCGGTTTCCCAAAGTGCTAGGATTACAGGATTCAGGGCTACCGCACTTGGCCCTGATTTTGTATGTTACATAGTGTACTTAGTTACTCCATGAAAAGAATCAAATTCTTTTCAGACAACAACAACAACAACACAGAAACAATTATATAAGTTAATTGTCACATCATGTGATAAGAAATTATGGGTTGTTATTAATCATTTTGAATAGAAAATAAGTGACGTAAGATGTTGGCAGCTGCATATTATATGGTAACACACTAATAGACAGATCTTGAAAGTCTAGAAATTGATTTCATTTTCATTCATCCAGTTTGTGTTTCTTGGTTTATTATTCATACATTCTTTAAGCTTGACTTTCTAAGAGGCTCATTATAGAGGAAAAAAGGTCATAATTCTCAGTATTTATTTTGAAGGGGATTGGAATGATTTATTCCATAATGTTACAAACAGACAAAACAGCATTCTCTCCTGGGATCTCTGAGATTTTACAGGTCCTGTTCAATGATTTTTATTGTATTTTCCATCAGTATTATGTTTATTATCTGACAGGTTTAAGAAGAGGAAAAGGATAATATTATTATAAAGAAAACATATAAAACATCACCTTGGGTTTAACATGCTTCAAAATGTCTACAGTGCCACATTTGCTCCAAAATTACCCATAGGCAAATAAATAGCAGCAGCAGCTAAAACGTTTTAATCTCCCCCAGTCCCCCTACAAAAATAGACAGAACCACTGATACAGCAAAGCAAAATCTTGTGGACGTCTACAACAAAAGTGATAAGATATTCCCATGAGGAGGAGGGGTCAAACCACTAACAGCAATAAGATATGTATGGTAACGGCCGTAGGAAGAAACAGAAGAAAGAAAAACGACTTCCAAAAAACAGCCTAGAAAGCAAATTAGCAACAGGCAACCACTCCCAAAAGGAAAAGTCTGTTCTCCACATGGAAGCTACCCATTCCCAAAGGGAAGAGACACTCTCGGCATGGAAAAATACCATTTCCAAAGGGAAGCGTAAACTCTCAGCCTGGAAAAATACCATTTCCAAAGGGAAGAGTAAACTCTCATCATGGAAGGTACCCATTCCCAAAAGGAAAACTCCACTCTTGGCTGGAGTACCCGTTCCCAAAGGGAAGAGTCCACTGTCAGCATGGAAGCCATCCATTCCCCAGGGGATGAGTCCACTCTCAGACCATCAGGTCAATCTGACAAGAGCAGCCAAAACTGTTGGTGGGGGAAGGGGGTGACTTTGCAGGCTCCAGATCTCCTGCAAACTCTGTGATTGCTCCGACGAAAATGTGTTTAAAAAGAGAGAAGTCTTGGCCGGGCGCAGTGGCTCACGCATATAATCCCAACACTTTGGGAGGCAGAGGTGGGCGGTTCACAAGGTCAGGAGTTTGAGACCAGCCTGACCAACATGGTGCAACCCCGCCTCTACTAAAATGCAAAAATTAGCCAGCCATAGCGGCGCGTGCCTGTAATCCCAGCTACTTGGGAGGCTGAGGCAGAAGAATTGCTTGAACCCAGGAGGCAGAGGTTGCAGTGAGCCAAGATCACACCACTGCACTCCGGCCTGGGCAACAGAGTGAGACTCTGTCACCAAAAAAAAAAAAAAAAAAAAAAAGTGTTTGTAATTCTAGAAGTTAAAATACACAAGGAAGAGAAAACGGTTAATATTTATGCACCGAAATGCTCAACGCCACTTTCATAAAGTAGGACAAATCCCCATACTGAGGAGAGACTGCCAGGCATTGAATGGAAACAGAACAGAACAGGGACACCAAAACTTAAGAAAGAGGATAGCCACACCGAGCTGGAAAGGGAACACGTCTCAGAATGTGGTGTGTTCAGATCTAAGTCCATGTTTGGATCTCAGTTCATAGATCTCAATGCAGCACAGTAACAGCAGAAAACGAAGCCCTAGAACACCGGCCCTAGGGAAGATATTCCCGGCATCCTCCTCTCTAAGAGGATAGGAAAGCCGTGAGCTAAAGCGTCATTGTGCTTGAATATCCCATATGATGTAAATTTAAAAAAAAAGATTAAGTGGACAGAGAATATTATTCCTATAGATAATGAAATCATGTCATAAAGACACGAACTTACAATAATAAAAATATTAGTCCAACATTTCCAAATGAGCTTAGAGAATTTCAGAAAATGATTGTAGCTATGGAAGAATGCCATAAATCAGAATTAGAAAATGAGCCTGTAATCTTAGCATTTAGGGAGGCTGAGACAGCAGGACTGCTTGAGACTAAAAGTCCAAAACCAGCCTAGGTAACATAGCAAGACCCTGTCTCTACAAAAAACAAAAAATAAAATTAGCCAGGCATGATGGTGTGCTACCGTAATCCTGGCTACTTAGGAGGCTGAAGTGGGAGGATCGCTGGAGTCCAGGAGGTCAAGGCTGTAATGAGCTATGATTGCACCACTGCACTCCAGCCTGAGTGACACAGTGAGACCCTGTCTCAAAATATTTTAAAAGAGGAAAAAAAAAGAAAATGAGATGATTGGACAAAAGAAAAGTTTGAAATGTGAGCTAAGAGAATTTTAAAAAGAACTAGGAGTAAAAGAAAAAATAATTTCAGAAATGAAGACCAAAGTAGGATGAGCTTAAGGACAAATAAACATCATAAGAAAAAAAGAGAAAATAGAATGAGAGGAAAATAAGAAATTAAAACAAAATTTTAAAAAAAGATAAGGGCTGGAGAAGCCAGGTGTGGTGCCTCACACCTGTAATCCCAGCACTTTGAGAGGCCGAGGCAGGAGGATTGGTTGAGGCCAGCAGTTCAACACCAGCCTGGGCAACATAGCAAGATTCTGTCTCTACAAAAATAAAAAACATATTTTTTAAAATTTTTGAAAATGGTTTGGAGAGGGAGTAATAGATTATTACTTATATATTAGCATACATGTAATAAGAGTCTCAAAAGAAGAAACTCAAAGCAAGGGGAATGAATGCAAACTGGAGCTATAGTTCAGAAAAATGTTACTGATATCAAGTAGATCTGAATCCACATCTTTAACGGGCACATGAGGTACCTCGGAAAATCCATTGATAGTGGCCAAAATGAGACTTTTTTTTAAAGTAAATTTATTGAACTGAAAGAAAAGGGAAAAACCAAATGAAATCTTTAGACATCAAAGTGAAACAACCAAGCCACTCATTAGGGAAAGAGACTAAGACGGACAGATTTCTCAACAGCAACATTTTATACCATAGGGCAATGGAATAAAGTATATTACAAACAGTTAAGAAAATGTAGTCAAGGCCGGGCGCGGTGGCTCGCGTCTGTAATCCTAGCACTTTGGGGGTCCAAGGCGGGCAGATCACCTGAGGTCAGGAGTTTGAGACCAGCCTGGCCAACATGGTGAAACCCGGTCCCAACTAAAAATACAAAAAATTAGCCAGGCATGGTGGCGCGCACCTGTAATCCCACTACTCGGAAGGCCGAGGCAGGAGAATCGCTTGAACCCAGGAGGCGGAGGTTGCAGAGAGCTGAGATCACACCACTGCACTCCAGCCAGGGCAACAAGAGCAAAGCTCCCTTCCAAAAAAAAAAAAAAAAAAAGAAAAGAAAATGTAGGCAAGAATTTTATACCCAGTCAAGTTTAAAGTCATGCACAAACTGTTAAGAATATGCCAGAACTCATGGAGTATTGTTCTCTGTGCCCTTCCTAAGGAACCTACTAGAAAAAGACAAACAAATGACCGAAGAGGAATTGGCATAAGGATCAGGTGGGCGTTGAATATATATATTTACCTGTATAACAATCATTACATGATGGATACAAGGGTGACCCTATAGAATGTAGTTGTTACACGATACAGTACTACTATAAACAATTATAACACAATTGCTTTTAAAAGCTATCTTTATAAAGCAAGGCAAAATGAAACGAATAAACCTAACTGTTCCACGAGTTGGTGGCATAAGCTCAGACGGAGGAAGTATTTTAATTAACTTTAAAATACAGTAATCTGAGGTTACATCCCTGGTAGTATGTACCATAAAATCAAACAAGCAGAAAGTCTTAAACTGTTTTTTTAGCATTCAAATTTCTACTAATACTATTGACATTGCTATTCTGAAACTATTACTTTGTTAAAATAGAGACAGGGTTTTGCTATGTTGCCCAGGCTGGTCTCGAACTCCTGGGCTCAAGTGATCCTCCTGCCTTGGCCTCCTAAAGTGCTGTGATTACAGGAATGAGCCATCATGCCTGGCCAAGCTGTTATATAATATATAAGAGAAATCAAGTAAATAATTATGTGCATGCTGTTAGGAACCAGGATTTTTCACTTGAGAAAAAAAAAGATAGAATCAAATAAATACATTAAAACTTTATAATCCTAAAATTTCGATTGGAAATGTAAATATGAACTAATAATGTAATTTTAAAATATATACACACATATATAGACTTCAGTTCTGTTCTTTAAAAGGGCTTACTAGGCCGGGCGCAGTGGCTCACGCCTGTAATCCCAGCACTTTGGGAGGCTGAGGCGGGTGGATCACATGAGGTCAGGAGTTCGAAACCAGCCTGGCCAACATAGTGAAACCCCACCTCTACTAAAAATAAAAAAAATTAGCCGGTTGTGGTGGCACACACCTGTAATTCCATCTACTTGGGAGACTGAGGCAGGAGAATTGCTTGAACCTGGGAGGTAGAGGTTGCAGTGAGCTGAGATCACATCATTGCACTCCAGCCTGGATTACAGAGTAAGACTCCACCTAAAAAAAAAAAAAAAAAAAGGGGGCTTAATAATAATAAAACAAGTAGCAGTGAGTACCCCTGGTGTCTACGTTGTGGAATATAAATACTATTTTGCACTAAAAGAAACTAGAGCTTCTTGGACAAATGGCTAATTGCAGGTGTAGGGCAAGAAACACACAAATATTTTGTAACGCCAAAATATTTGGCATTACAAATGCCAAAAATTTGTAAATCTTAAATATTTTGTGCCAAAACAAGCCTAAATCATCATGTCAAAATGCCTTAAGGAGTCAAATTGAAGAGTCTTCAACTAGCCAAATATGGGACCATTGGAATTTTGAAGGAATATTAACCACCCTTAATTGAAATATGCCAGATATGTCTCAATCCTTTAGTCAGTAATGATACTAAAAGACCTCACTGGTCACATATGGAAGATGCTAGGAATCAACTCGTTATTTTGAAAACTGATGCAGATAAAATGAAATCAAGCCATTATTTTGCCTTATATGTTTGAAGTGTACCTGAGACAGTAACTGATGAGGGAAAAATTTGGAAGCATTCTAGCTAATGAAGAAACGTGATAGACTTAGAATATTACTCTATTACTAACCTTAATGAAATAGTAAATCATTAATGGCCATTGATATCACAGAGAGCCAACCAGACATATATGCCTCTGATAGAAATATACAACCCCGCTTAGGAAATATTACCATCAAAAAATTAAACCAGACTGCTGAAGCAAGGACAAATAAACATCATAAGAAAAAAGTGGAAAATGGAATGGAAGGAAAAATAATAAAAATAGATTATTATTTATATATGAGCATATAGGTGATAGGAACCTACCCAATTTAAAGGAAATGCAAGGAAAAGAAACATGTTAAACCATACATATAGGGATGCAATCAGATAGTTTTAGAATATGGGAAGCTTGACAGAGAAGTGTCCTGCCTTCCTTAAAAAATAAGTTATATCGCTTCTCGGCCTTTTGGCTAAGATCAAGTGTAAAAAATAAGTTATAGGCCGGGCACAGTGGCTCACGCCTGTAATCCCAGCACTTTGGGAGGCTGAGGTGGGCGGATCACGGAGTCAGGAGATCGAGACCATCCTGGCTAACACGGTGAAACGCCATCTCTACTAAAAATACAAAAAAAATTAGCCGGGCGTGGTGGTGGGCGCCTGTGGTCCCAGCTACTCGGGAGGGTGAGGCAGGGGAATGGCGTGAACCTGGGAGGCGGAGCTTGCAGTGAGCCGCGATCGCGCCACCACTCTCCAGCCTGGGCGACAGAGCGAGACTCTGTCTCAAAAAAAAAAAAAAAAAAAAAAAAGTTATAATGAACAAAAAGAAGGGGAAAGATGAGAAATCTATAGATAAAAAGGAAAGTAAGAAAGAGACATATTAACAAATTGCAGTGTATGAACCTTATTTGTATCTTAATTCAAATAAGTCAACTGTAAAACAATTATGAGATAATCAAATGTAAACACTAGTTGAATAGCTTAGAATATTAACAAATTATTAACGTTTTAAAGTTTAATATTGATGCTCTGGTTATATTTTAAAAGCGTTCTTATGCTTTACAGATTCATACAAACATATTTTTGGAGCAAAGAATATCATAAGACTGTTTCAGATTTTAAAAATGAGCTTGCCTCAAAATAATCTGGTGAGGCAAGAAAGTATAAATGGACCAAAATTGACCTTGAGTTGATAATTGTTAAAATCGAGTGATGAGACTTGGGGTTTGTTATACTATTGTCTACACTTTTGTATATCCTTAAAATTTCCGGTCGGGGGAATTTAGAAAACACACATGGTTCTGCTTTTTTTGTTGTTTTTTTTCTACTCCAAATTTATCTCAACCAGTCAGTGCATCTACTATAAGTATGCTAGATTAACTTTTCAGGTTACCCAGCCGTTTGAAAATGGGCCCTAAGTTAAAAGAATAAATCAAACTCTAAAGGTGACATATTTCCCTTGATGCTGGTTTATATCATTTGTCAATGAATTTTAATAAACACTCAGTGACATACTGATTGCTTTATACTAAATAGGCAAAAGAGAAAATGGATTATACCACTGGCATGAATAACACCATCTATCAATGCTGTGTGGCATGGTGACATCACTTTTGAAATTATCCCATTTCTTAATAGATGAAAATATCTTTTGTCATTTAAAATTATTATCCTGCCTCGGCATTACACGTTCACCTAAACATAATTTATGAAAACCTCTACTTATGTAAGAATTTTTATTCCTGCATGTTTTTCATCTTTCAGTTTATTTTAACAAGGCTGCACCCGAGCAGGAAAAAGCTGAAATTGAACTTTGCATAGCTAAGTAGGAGGAAGAATGTTGTATTCTTCAAACTGGATTGACACAAAGTATTCCACATGATGCAAAAATTAATAAGAAGTAGCCCTGGGCTTTTCTTTCTTATAGCTGCATATTGCTTCTAGCTTTTCATTCTCTTGTTATTAATTGGTCACAAATCTTGTTTTAGCTATCTCAGTGTTCCTCTCAGCTGATTTTTTTCTTAACCAAAATAATATATCATCCTATTTTTACAGTACATGGCTAATTTAGGCAATCACTGCAGTTTTAATTAATGGATTATGATCAAAGTGTTCAGCTTCAAAACCCATTCTTTTAGGCCAGAAATAAACTTTACAACCAGTGATATAGTACAACAGTGGATCTGGACATCCGGAGGTTCACTGCCACATGGCATGTTCTCTTGGTCTCAGTTTCTCATTTCTCTAGGTCTCAGTTTTCCTCCTTCAACATTTCATTGAATAAATATTTATATACCTTCTAAGTGCCCACATTTGTGCTGAAGTTAGCAATACAGGGGTAAGTGTGATATCACCTCCTTACAGTGGTGTTTGAATTGACACCAGAAAGATGGTTAAGAGTTAGAAGAATGACGAGTCAAGGATAGGAGTGTTTTGAGCAAGGAGAAATTCAAAGGTGCTTAGGAAAAGGATGTGTATACAATGAGGATGTAGGATTTAGAATGAAGGAGGACTTTGGGAAGCCGAGGCTGGCAGATCGCCTGAGGTCAGGAGTTTGAGACCTGCCTGGTCAACATGGGAAAACCCCATGTCTACTAAAAATACAAAAATTAGCTGGGTGTGGCGGCACATGCCTGTAATCCCAGCTACTCGGGAGGCTGAGGCAGGAGAATTGCAGAAACCTGGGAGGGAGAGGTTGCAGTGATCTGAGATCGTGCCACTGCACTTTAGCCTGGGCGACAGAGCAAGATTCTGTCTCAAAATAAAAAAATACAATGAAGGAGGAAGATAAGAAAATAGGCGTACTTGCTGAATGATAGGATTAAACTAAATGACCCATTAGGTCCTTCCAGTTCTAAATGCTTACATAACTGACCAGGCATGGTGGTTCACTCCTGCAATCCCAGCACTTTGGGAGGCTGAGGGGTTCTGGATCATTTAAGCCCAGAAGCTTGAGACCAGCCTGAGCAACCTGGTGGAACCTCATCTCTACTAAAAATAGAAAAATTAGCCAGGCGTGGTGGCATGTCCCTGTAGTCCCAGCTACTCAAGGGGCTGAGACAGGAGGATCACCTGAGCCTTGGGAGGTCGAAGCTACCGTGAGCCATGATTAGGCCATTGCACTCCAGTCTGGGTGACAGAGTGAGACCCTATCTCAAAAATAGAATGAACTAAATAAACTAAACGCTTCCATAACTCTGTAGCAGTTGTTGAATCAGAGAATCTACATTATCCTCTATTACCACCAAGACCATTTGCAAATTCTTAGCCTCTATAAATCTCAGTCTTTTCTATAGAATTGTGACTATACTTACCTTAAGTTTGTTGTGGTGCTTAAATAAGATAATATGTTTAAAACCTGTGTCTGGTATAACCTAATCATTGTGTATAAATGGTAATAGAAATGTATAAATGGCATAAATGTATATAAATGGTAATAATCATTGTTAGCTTATATTTTACGTTACTCAAAGAAGCTTCTGCACCTACTACCTTACTTTATTTTTTTAAAAAAAAAGTCCTAGGAGAGACTCATGAGAGTGTTTATTACTCCTGTTTTACAAATGAGAAAACTTGAGCTCAAAGAGGTGCTTTAGGAAATGAATGGTGGAAATTGGTCTCTTGGTTTCCTGTTCAGCTCTTTTCTTCTCCCCATCCCATATTATTTTTCTATTTTAGCTTCTCTTTGAACAAGTAAGAAATATTAACACAGACTGGGGGCTTGTACAGATTGGTTTATCTTATGGCTGAAGATTTTAGGTTTTCCTTTGAGTCGTTTTTCTATTATTCTAACAGATCGATCTTATACAAAAACAGTTCGTCTTATGCTAAGCCTTCTTTTTGGAGTGTTAAGATTCTGAATGTCCTGTCACTCAATGACCTGTTAGGATGAAGACCAGTAAGTGTTTTTAATCATTTTTAGGAGCACCATAGTCTCTGCTCCGTCATTCTTCCATTACTTTAGATATGTGAGCTAAAGCTTTCTTTGCAAGCTATTTCTCAGGAAATCAGTAAAGCTTCCACTAGAAATTGCCTCAATTGGATGACATTTCTCAAATAAAAAGTCACACCATTTGGGACCATGAGCTCATCTTCCCTTGACAATTTAGGAGAAGTAGGCTCATTCCTGGCTTCGTTTTTACTTGAATTACAGATACGAAAAACCTAAAAGCTATTGCAACCTTTGGAAGTGGAGGAAAAGAGGAAGATAGACCCGAAAGAACTTGTTGTCTGCCAACATGTAAACACTTCAGAGCTGACCTGTCTATTATTTAAAACAGATTAAACAGAAGTTCTCCTCTTCAGCAGCTGTGCAGTCAGGTGTGTGTATATTGCAGCTTAGTTCTTTTCCAGGCAGAGTCTTTAGTTCATCCAGGAACAGGAACGAGACGTTTTCTGACAGAACTCGAACTGAAGGGGACATATAATTTATTGGTTTGCATAACTCTGTTAAGGAAATGTTTCTTCTGCTATTCACCTCCAATTTGGCTGGCTGTTAAATCTGTAGTATAGCTAAAGATGTTTTCTAAATATTAGATATCCATTTTGAGTGTGATAAGTGTCCCTTAATTTGTTTTGTTTTTTTTTTTTTTGAGACAGAGTCTCACTCTGTTGCCCAGGCTGGAGTGCAATAGTGCAATCTTGGCTCACTGCAACCTCTGCCTCCCAGGTTCAAGTGATTCTTCTGCTTCAGCCTCCTAAGTAGCTGGGATTACAGGTGCGTACCACCATGCCTGGCTAATTTTGTATTTTTAGTAGAGACGGGGTTTAACTGTGTTGGCCAGGCTGGTCTCAAACTCCTGACCTCAAGTGATCGCCCGCCTCGGCCTCCCAAAGTGCTGGGATTACAGACATGAGTCACTGTGCTCGGCTGGGTTGTTTTCATGATGGGAGGAATCTATCAAGAGAATTGGTGCTGCCCGCTGTCTAGTCATTACCACAGAGTACAGGGCTGTCAAAGGTCTTGTTTTAAGTCTGTTTCCCTGAAAATTATCCCTGGCCATTTGCCTTGAATAGTTACATTTCAAAAATAAGATCTTTATTGAAAAAAGCAAAGATAAAAGTGAGAGGGAATGAATACCAATGCCAGATATCACACTGGTAAAGATTCATAGAATAGACACGGTAGCACAACCATTGGTTTTGTAGGTTTCCTGACTCTTTTCATGGCCCTTGGAATGGTTTTTACCCTACAGCCAAATTTCACATTTAGGGTGCCATCATCAATAGGGTTCTTTGCTACAAGTCAATTAATTAAATTGGTGGGTTCTTTAATATTTTAGACACTATCAATTAAATATGCACATAATAAAAGGCCTATACATTCCCATGAAATACCTGCTAAAATGTTTAAAAACTGGCCGGGCGCGGTGGCTCATGTCTGTAATCCCGGCACTTTGGGAGGCCGAGGTGGGTGGATCACCTGAGGTCGGGAGTTCAAGACCAGCCTGACCAACATGGAGAAACCCCGTCTCTACTAAAATACAAAATTAGCCGGGCATGGTGGCACAAGCCTATAATCCCAGCTACTCAGGAGGCTGAGGCGGGAGAATTGCTGAACCCAGGAGGCGGAGATTGCAGTGAGCCGAGATCACGCCATTGCACTCCAGCCTGGGCAACAAGAGTGAAACTCCACCTCAAAAAAAAAAAAAAAAAAATTTAAAAACTGGTGATACCATGGAATACTATGCAGCCATAAAAAAGAATGAGATCATGTCCTTTGCAAGGACATGGATGGAGCTGGAGGCCATTATCTTTAGCAAACTAACACAGGAACAGAAAACCAAATAGTGCATGTTCTCACTTACAAGCAGGAATTAAATGATGAGAACACATGAACACCTAGAGGGGAACGACACACACTGGGGCCTTTCAGAGGGTGGCAGGTGGGAGGAGGGAGAGGATCAAGAAGAACAACTGATGGTACTAGGCTTAATACCTGGGTGACGAAATAATCTGTACAACAAACCCCCATGACACAAGTTTACCTTTGTAACAAACCTGCACTTGTACCTCTGAAAAACACAACTGGTGATACACGTTTCAAGTGTGTCTGTGTGTATCTATAGTCTTTCTGTGAGCTACAGAATGAGAGTAAGACTCCTCCTTGTCTATTTTGACCTCCCACTGTACCCTGACCAGGACCTGCTGTAACAAATTTCTTCTCTTTCTAGTCTACGCCTTTGTATCTCATTTACCTCTTTCTCCACATGATGCTTGAGGCACCATACCGACTCCACTTTTCTCAGTTTATTAAAATCTACTGGGCATGGTGGCTCACACCTATAATCCCAGCATTTTGGGAGGCTAAGGCAGGAGGATCACTGGAGGCCAGGAGTTCGAGACCAGCCTAGGCAACACAATGAGACCCTGTCTCTACAAAAAAAAAAAAAAAAATTTTTTTTAATTAGCCAGGCATGGCGGCACGCACCTGTAGTCCCAACTACTTGGGAAGAGGCTGAGGTGGGAGAATTACTTGAGCCCAGGAGATCAGGGCTACAGTGAGCTATGATTGCACCATTGCACTCCAACCTGGGTGACAGAGTGAGAACCTGTCTCTGAAGAAAAAAAGAAAAATCTGGCCAGGCACGGTGGCTCACATCTGTAATCCCAGCACTTTGGGAGGCTGAGGTGGGTGGATCACTTGAGGTCAGGAGTTCAAGACCAGCCTGGCCAACATGGCGAAACCCTGTCTCTACTAAAAATACAAAAATTAGTCAAGTGTGGTGGCATGCGCCTGTAATCCCAGTTACTCAGGAGGCTGAGGCACGAGAATCGCTTGAACCTGGGAAGCGGGGGTTGCAGTGAGCCAAGACTGCACCATGGCACTCCAGCCTGGGCAACAGAGTGAGACCCTGTCTCAAAAAAAGAAAAAAGAAAAATCTACACAAATGTGCTCCTTCTATTACTAAAACCAGGATCAAATGACTAATTTTATTTGACTGTATGTGATAACTGCTTTCAAATTCATGACCATCATTCACTCTGCTTCTCCTTAGGAAATTTTTGTCTCATGGGTGACATATGTTTTGTAGGAGTTTGTGTTTTCCTTTTTGCTTTGGCTTCCTGGATGCTCAGGGTCAAACTTGTAACCCAATTTAGTAACTCCAATGGCCTTATGCCTTGCATTGCTGCATAATATGTTATTTCTTCTTCTTTTATTTATTTTTTTTTTGAGACAGAGTCTTGCTTTGTCACCGAGGCTGGAGTGCAATGGGCTCAATCTCAGCTCACTGCAACCTCCACCTCCCAGGTTCAAGCGATTCTCCGCCTCAGCCTCCTGAATAGCTGGGATTACAGGTGCACACCACCACGCCTGGTAATTTTTGTATTTTTAGTAGAGACAGGGTTTCTCTGTGTTGGTCAGGCTGGTCTCGAATTCCTGACCTCATGATCCGCCTGCCTTGGCCTCCCAAAGTGCTGGGATTACAGGCATGAGCCACCACGCCCGGCCCATAATATTTTCTAGTTTGTTTTATCTTGCTAATGAATGTAAATTTTTCTCTGGCCTTGATTTTTTAAATTACTCTCATATTATATATAGCTTTTAGACCCTCATCAAAATTTTTGTAGAGTAAATGAAAGTATACACATATGTATACATATAAATGCATATTATTTATATGTGTAAACTTATACATATAAATAAGTCCTTCAGTTATAGAATGCTGTTGAGAAAATCAGAGGTATTTTTAGGAGGGTACAACTAAGACAAAAGATTAATGCCTCTTTAGGAAAATACGCCTGAAATAAAATAACATCATGCCTAATAATTATCCTCTAGTTATTTTCCTGCAGCCTTACCACACTAATCCATCTATCGTCTTGAAATTATCTGTCTTAAACACAGATTAAATCACATTACTTATATAATTTACATAATCATAGTACTTACATAATTATCTGTCTGAAACAAAGATTTAATCATATTACTTTTCTGCTCTGGAACCTTAGATGACACGATTACAGAATAAGGGCTGAATTCCTAGGCATGGCATTCAAAATCCTTATAAGATACCACCCTCTTGGCTCGGCGTGGTGGCTGACGGCTGTAATCTCAGCACTTTGGGAGGCTGAGGTGGGCAGATCTCCTGAGATCAGGAGCCTGGCCAACATGGTGAAACCCCATCTCTACTAAAAATACAAAAAATTAGCCAGATGTGGTGGCGGGCACCTGTAATCCCAGCTACTCAGGAGGCTGAGGCAGGAGAATTGCTTGGACCCGGGAGGCAGAGGTTGCAATGAGCCGAGATCACACCATTGCACTCCAGCCTGGGCAACAAGAGTGAAACTCTGCCTCAAAAAAAAAAAAGATTCCATCCTCTTACCTGTTAAGCCTTTGCTCTCTTCCTAGATCTAACGTATTCTCCTCGCAAAAAAATTTGGACTACGTGTTTCTGGACATGACCTGCCCTTTTTTCTCCATCTTTGAGACTTTTCTTCCTCCCCTTTTTCCAAAGCCCACAGAAAATACCTCTTGCCTTCCTTCCTTCTGACCTGACATACTTCCCAGCCTGGGTTAATTTTAAGAACATCAACATGTTAATGATCCTCTTAATGAACATATGATTTTAGAACAACATAACAAACTGGTGTTCTCTTTTGTATTGACATTGAAAACCTTTTGTATCATCACTTCTTCCCAAGCTCACCTCAAGAAGTCTATCTTTTAGCCCAACATGTTCTCCCTTCTGTGACTGGTGCTTATTCTCTAACATATTTGGAAGCAATAGACCTTAATAATTGAGAGGTGTGGCTGTGAAGTTAACTCAACTTGGGTTCAGCCCACTTACTTCACCTCATCTGCAAAATAAGATGATAACACAGAAAACTTTAAAATACATCCATAAATTATTTGACAACGCTCTCATGAAGAGGCAGAGTCTGTGTGCCCTCCTCTTGAAACTAGGTACACTTGTGGCTTGTTTGTAAACAATGAAATGCAGGAGAAACGACACTCGGTAACTTCTAAGACTAAGCAAAAAAAAAAAAAGTTACGCAGCTTCTTCCCTGTTCACTGAGATATTCACTTGTGGAGGCTTAAACTAGCATTTAAGAAGTCCAATTACTCTGAGGCCACCAGGCTATGAGGAAAGCTAGGTCATACAAAAAGGCCCTTGGCTAAATGTCTGGTAGGAAGCCTCAACTGAATTCCCAGCCAACAGCCAGCATCCATTGCTAAGCATGTGACTGAAGACCTGTCCAGGTGATGCCAGCCCTCAATTGTGAAGTTCCCACTTGTTCATTGAGTCTTCCCAGTTGAGGACCAGCCTTCATGGAGCAGAGACGAGCCATTTCTGTTTTGCTCTGTCCAAATTCCTGAGCTACAGCCTGCAAGAACATAATAAAAGAGTTTCTTTAAGCTACTAACTTTGGGGATAACTTGTTATGTAGCAAAAATAATCAGAACAGAAATTTCACACCTAGAAATAGAGTGCTACTATACCAAAAATCTAAAGCATGAGGCGTTGACTTTGAAACCACTGTCTAGCAGCAGCTGAACGGGCTTTGAGGAGACTGTTATCATCTTAGGCTGGAGAAGGCTGTTGGTGGGGACTTGCAGACAAGCAAGGAAAATGTCATTAGAAGCTGGAGGAAAGCAAAATCATTTTGCCTAGTGGTGAAAGTCTGGCCACACTGTCACATGTGGTAATGTGAAAAAAACAGAAAATGTTGGATGAAAAATGTGGTACATATACACCCTGAATACTACTCAGTCATTAAAAGGAATGAAATCATGTCTTTTGAAGAAACTTGGATGGAGCTGGAGGCCCTTATTCTATGGAAGTAACTCAGGAGTGGAAAACTAAATATCGTGTGTTCTTACTTATAAGCGGGAGCTAAGCTATGAGGATGCAAAGGCATAAGAATGATGTCCTGGACTTTGTGGAGGAGTTGGGAGGTTGGTGAGGGGTAAAAGGCTACATATTGGGTACAGTGTACAGTGCTCTGCAGATGAATACTCTAAAATCTCAGAAATCATCACTAAAGAACTTATCCCTGTAGCCAAAAACCAACTGTACTCCAAAAACTATTAATAAAAAAATTAAAAATACACAATGAGAAAATGATAATTACAAAAAAATTTTAAAAGTAGAAAATATGCTTAAGGAATTTGATGATCTAGCTAAGCAAATTTCCCCAGAAAATATTAAAAGAGCCACTTGACTTTTTCTTTCTGTCTGTGATAAAATGCAAGAGAAGAGAGATGAGCTCAATTCTTGACCCAAAGAAGCTGCGAGCATGATAAAATGGTCATTTTCAGCTACCAAGTTTTGGGGTTATTTTTAGCACAGCAGTAGTAACTGGATCAACACCTCGAAGGATTATCGAGAGGGTTAAATAAGACATGTACATAAAGCAACGAGCATGGTGTTTGGCAAAAGAAATGCTCAATGAATGGATCTTAAGGTTAACTCTTCGACTGATTTGGCTTTGCTTAAAACATTTAGCATGGCACTGGAGTGTGCAAGAGGTGCTTAACATATGCTCGTTGACTTGAATTGAGGACAGACTCGAGGACAGAAAAGATGAGTTTGCAAAAAAAACCCACAATCTTATTTTCCTGACCTGAGACGGAATTTTAAAAATATTATTAGAAGTTGTATTCTTGTTACAGTCTATGAAATTCTAAAATTTATCTTGGGAAGAGATCAGACTATACAATTCATTTAATCCTTGCCTTTTCAGCTAAGTCTAGAGTAATAAAATTGTAAATGCCTGGGTTTGGTGAATAATAGTTAATTTGGGCCCAGGCATGGTGACTCAATCACATAATCCCAACACTTTGGGAGGCCAAGGTGGGAGGATCCCTTGAGCCCTTGAGCCCAGGAGTTCAAGACCAACCATAGGCAACATGGTAAAAACCCATCTCTGCAAAAAATTAGCTGGGTGTGGTGGTGTACATCTGTAGTCCTGGCTACTTGAAGGAGGGGATGCTGAGATAGAAGGATAGCTTTGAACCTGGGAGGTTGAGGCTGCAGTGAGCTATGATCATGCCACTGCACTTCAACCTGGGTGACACAGTGAGACCTGGCTCAAAAAAAAAAAAAAAAAGTTAATTTGGGAAATGAGGGGTCTTGACTATCAACTGTGGATATGGATATTGCAGTGGTCCACATCTGATTCAACCTTCACTGCAACTATAAAGTTAGTGAGATTTTCTCCCCTCTCATTGAATCTTACACATCCTTAAACCCTTTCCACAATCTAGCCTCATGCCCATCGTCCTCTGTCCACTACTGTAACCTACTACATCCCATCCTGCAGAGTCAAACACAGGAAGGAATTTTTATACTTAAAGCGTTTAAAAATTTTCCTGGAGACAAAAACCCCACTTAAAATATGGCAGTATATGAATCACAAGTATGAAAATCTCTTACTATAAAAACAGTCACTAACTTCTCACATACTTTGTCACAGTTGGTGCAAGAGACAATGCACTGCGACCGATGAGGCTTGCAGGGTCCCTAATCTGTGAAGTCTTCACTTCTCAGGAAGGAGGCCAAGTGACCACTGCAGACAGCTCACTTAGAAGGAATTTGAAGAGTTCAAACTCAAGCAGTAAAAATGCATTCTGATGCCTCTGTTGCATGTCTGATAAATGGTCTTTCTCTCATTACCCAGTGAGAAATCTTGTCTAGAAACTTAGCTCTTCTTGCACTAACGTGCTGTCTTGCTCCTGCTAATGAACTGCTTGGAAAATTTCAACTTCCGCCTTGAAACCCTGGTAGTGGCTGGAGTCCTCGCTAACTATGACAGACTTCTCTAACAGTTCACACTTAGGGCTCCATAAATTACTTGTGCCAGCAATCTCCATCACCAAGCCAGACCAGTGTTTCAGAGCACTCTAATACTTTCACCAGACCCCCTAATTAATGCTTGCCCACTTGGCCAATGGTATCCCTTCAGAACATCTGCCTTTACATAGACATTTCCTGGCATCTGCCTTACCTGTTGAATGAGACTAGGTTTATTCTGGCCAAGCAAGTCATGTGGAATCAAACAATAGTAACGTGAGGATGAAAAGCTTCCCTGTTATTTATGTATTTATTATTTCAGAGACAGGGTCTCACTGTGTCATTCAGGCTGGAGTGCAGTGGCTGCAGTCATAGCTCACTGTAGTCTCAAACTCCTGGGCTCAAGTGATTCTCCTGCCTCGACCTCCCAAAGTGCTGGGATTATAGGTGTGAGCCACCATGCCTGGCCGCTGTTCTTTAAATGGTTCTATTCCATAGCTATAAAAAAACAAATTAAATAAGCAAATTCCTTTGCTCCTTGAACTTCTCCTTTAGAGAAGCAAAAAGAGGTTTCAAAATATCTGTAAAATGAGGTGAAAGGCCATACCTTTCTGTCATCTGAATAATGATATTCCTACTGAGAAAAGGGCAAATAGTAAATAATTTCTTTTCATACTAAAGATATATAAAACATGGCTTTAAAATTTATCTCTGCAATACTGACCCAAAATTATTTTGGTGCTAGGGAAAATATTTTCCCTAGAACTAAAATAATAACAAAAGGCAGGGGAATAGGCCGGATACAGTGGCTCAGCACTTTGGGAGGCCAAGATGGGTGGATCACCTGAGGTCAGGAGCTTGAGATCAGCCTGGCCAACATGGCAAAACCCCGTCTCTCCTAAGAAATACAGAAAAAAAAATATTTGCCGGGCATGGTGGCGAATGCCTGTAATCCCAGCTACTCGGGAAGCTGAGACATAAGAATTGCTTGAACCCAGGATGCAGAGGTTTCAGTGAGCTGAAATCATGCCATTGCGCTGCAGCCTGGGCAGCAGAGTGAGACTCTGTCTCAAAAAAAAAAAAAAGGAGGAGAATAAAAAAGATAAAAAAGGAAGAAACACTTCTACATGAAGACTGATCTCCTACCTGTTTTTAATTCAAGAAGCACTCTCTGAGGAGAGGGGATGGGGAAAGAAGGATAAACCATTAAGGTCCATCGTCCTATTCCATTAGGAGAAAACTCTGAGAGATAATGAGACAGAAAGGCTCGACAGGTTTCCCCAAGGACAAAGCCAACTAGTTGCTTCAAGCAGCAGCTCCAGAAGAGCAACTATAAATTTCTTAGATCTCACACCCATTAAAATTCTAGGAAAAGGAGGCTAATTTTGCAAGTAGTCAGCTCGAACTTCCTGTTATGTGTGCCTCTTATAAAATGACGCGAAGAGGATTATATGACAGGAACAGTTGAATAGCTACAGCAAAGTTTCCAGGTTCTCGTAAAGACTATGTAAACAGATTCATCTTGAGAAGTCTACAGTTTTTTTGTTTTGTTTTGTTTTGTTTTAAATAATTAATTAGATTTAAGCACAAAAGGAACTATTTAAATAATTACCAAAGGTACTACCAATGCTGTTATATAAGTGATATCTCTGCTGCATACCCACTGGTACTGCTATGCCCTGTCGAATATGTATAAAAGAGGCATATTATCAAGAGAGGACTAGCTTTTGTAGATTGAAGACCCAGTGAAAATGGGAAGTAAATCTCTGGCCAGAGTAGTCAAAGTAATTAGGAAAGGAGAAGAAACAAGATGTTTTGACCACCAGTGAGGGTGATTAGGTGCAATGGTAGATCATTTCCAAAGATGGTTGCCAATAATTGCCACAGTCCCTGAATGTGCAAGCCACTCCTTTCATCAAGATTCATCAATCTATCTCTCTCCCCCTTGAATCTGGGCTATGCTGTATCTTGCTTTGACCAAGAGAACATAATGGAAGTGATGGGACATCACTTCACCTAGACTTCTAAGCCAAGGCCTTAAAAGAACTTGTAGCTTCCACTTTCGCTTTCTTGGAAGCCATTTATTATAGGCTAGACTATAACATGGTGAGAAACCACATGGAGACAGTGGTCTATGCCTGTAATTCCAGTGCTTTGGGAGGTCAAGGCAGGAGAATCGCTTGAGGCCAGGAGTTCCAGGCCAGCAAAACCCAATCTCTATAGAAAATAAAACATTAGCTGGACATGGTGGTGTGTGCTTGTAGTCCCAGCTACTTGAGAGACTGAGGCAGGAGGATCACTTGAGCCCAGGAGTTCAAGGCTGCAGTGAGCTATGACTGCACCACTGCACCCCAGCCTGGGCCACAGAGCAGACCCCTCTCTCTGAAAAAAAAAAAAAAATTTAAAAAGAAAAGAAACAGAGGCCGAGCCAGTCCCATCACCCAGCTGAGGTACCAGATGTGTGAACGACCAACCTCAACTTGAATGTTGCTGCCTCAGCAGAAACTAAATGCAGCTACAGGAGTGACCATAGCACGCACTCACTGGAGCAGAAGAACATCTCAACTGAGCCCAGCGAATTATGAGAAATAACAGTCTTTAATAATAGATGGAGAATTGAAATAGGTTCTCTGTCCCCAGTGACAATGAAGAGCTAGTTTGACAACATATGTGCCTTGATTGGTGAGTAGACCAGATGTGTGGACAAACTTCTGGGTAAGTCAGTGGCTTCCTGAAAGATGTGCAGTTTATTAGTCCATTTTCATGCTGCTGATAAAGACATATGCAAGACCGGATAATTTATAAAGAAAAAGAGGTTTAATTGACTCACAGTTCCACCTGGTCGGGGAGGCCTCACAATCATGGCGGAACGCGAAAGGCATCTCTTACATGGTGGCAGACGAGAGAAAAACGAGAACCAAGTGAAAGAGGTTTCCCTTATAAAACCATCAGATCTTGGGAGCCTTATTCACTACCACAAGAACAGTATGGGGGAAACCATCCCTGTAATTCACCTCCCACCAGGTCCCTCCCACAACACATGGGAATTATTGGAGCTACAATTCAAGATGAGATTTTGGTGGGGACACAGCCAAACTATATCAGGCAGTAAAGCGGTATCCATCCAAGCCACCAGAACGCCATTGCCAGTTCTGACACGATGAAGAAAGAGCAGACAAACTGGGATTGAGTTGAAGGGTTTTCTGAACACTTCCAAACTTAGACCGTATGGCAGAATCCCAGAAAGCTGAACGATACAACACAGAAACAATAGCTCATTCCTGTTTGCAGGGTTTGGGGGAAGGGACTAAAATGGCAGTCTTTTGAAAGGTGCAAGGAATACAGATAGGTGACGGGGGAAATTGATACAGAGACATGAAGGCAAGCAAAGCTAATAAGCCAGTCATCAGAGGGGCGCTGGGGAATCTCTGGGAAATCTCTGGAAATACACGGCAGAATGACGCAAGCCACTCGAAAAGGAAGCCAGAATGAATGACTATGTTCATGCATATGCAAACATGTATACATATGCATGGACGCCGATGGTTTTCTGGGAATGCTGCAAAAGGAGTAGAATGTGCCCCTTGGTATATTCCAGGAAACTGATTTCCCAGGGAAGGCAAAGTAAGAAGTACATGGAATAGGCTGGGTGTGGTGGCTCACACCTGTAATCCCAGCACTTTGGGAGGCCAAGGGGGTGGATCACAAGGTCAGGAGTTCAAGACCAGCCTGGCCAAGCTGGTGAAACCCCATCTCTACTAAAAATACAAAAAATTAGCCCGGCATGGTGGCAGGCACCTGTAATCCCAGCTACTCGGGAGGCTAAGGCAGAGAATTGCTTGAACCCAGGAGGCAGAGGTTGCAGTGAGCTGAGATCGTGCCACTGCACTCCAGCCTGGGCAACAGAGCAAGACTACACCTCAAAGAAAAAAAAAGTGCATGGATTAAAGTTTACAGGTGAGGTCCACGGACATTTTTGGTGAAACCGAACTCACAAGCTGTGATCATTGCCAACTAAGCAGTCAGACATGAAGCAATCTTATCTCAAAACTGCAGAACATTTCCTGACAGAAAAGATACACACAAGTCTAATGGATGGGAAGCTTTGCAGTGAGAAAGCCACATCTTCTCACTTCTGCATGGCACACCACTCTATGGGCTAGTCAAGTGACAAGCTGATTAATGCATCAGAGTTCCCCAGAAACTGCTAAGACACTGAAAACTGTTTCATGAGAACACAAATTTTATTCAGTAATGAGACTAAATATAATAACTGAGAAGAATGTTATTGCAAAATATCAGGCAAATGAATTATTGTTTTCATGACAAAGGTCTTCAAAGCGACAAGAGAGAGATTGTATATTAAGCAACTTTAGTAAAATATTCTGTATGTAATGAAATAAAAAAATTTAAATTGGGATTTGCACATCCTTGTTTTTGTGTCTAGATCAGGTTCTTGAAAAACCAACTTAATTGTGTATATAATTGATATTTATTAAAGTATAGATTTTAAAATATTACCCTATTAAATTGTTCACAGTGTTGAGGCATTTCCACTGCTTTGTTGTCAAAAACACACGTCTAACTTCTAATAATTCCTTAAAAGTTTCCTTAATTTTATTTTCCCTTCTATATTTCCACACTAGTGAACAAATTCATTTGGTAGAAATGGTATTTTAGAGATGATATTCAAGTACGTATTATACTTGGATGAAAATAAACAAAGTAATGATGACTTGTTTTTGAGTCTTTCAATTTTTTCATTCTTACTGTGGCTAGAGTACGACTATTCTAATAAAAACATCCTGTTTTAAAGAATCAAAACATAGCAAATGTATCACATTATATCGAGATTTGAATTTAAGATAATGAAAATTATTGCAAATAAAATAACAGCTTGTATTTGGCAATCTGTAGCCAGAGACTATGATATGACAAATAAAAATATTTTTAATCAGAGAAAAAAATATTGGAAAAGAATTTCCTTCTGTTAGCACAATTAATTTATAAAATGCTGGTAAATATCTACCCTTTACAGTGTGACGCTATCTATAAAGCTTTGCAGTTATTTAATTCATAAAGCAACTCTCCTTTTACAGGTAGCAAAAAAGAGATACTAAAAAACTGGCCTGTGGTCTCACAACCCACAAGGAACTTGGGACTCTAAAGTTGAACCTCTCACAGCACTAACCGCAAACAAGAGTTTTGGTGGCCTTTGTGATACCAGAGAACAGCTTCTCTTTTCTGTTCTAGTGCTTCAAGTTGACAGTGTTGCTAATGATTTAGGATCAAGATCATTAATTCTACACATTTTACTACATTAAAAAAATTTTTTTTGAGACAGGGTCTCACTGTGTCATCCAGGCTGGAGTGCAGTGTCACAAATACAGCTCACTGCAGCCTTGATTTCCTGGGCCCAATCAATCCTCCTGCTTCAGCCTCCTGTGTAGCTGGGACCACAGGCACGTGCCAACATGCCCATCTGATTTTTTTTTTGTAGAGATGGGGTCTTGCTATGTTGTCCAGGCTGGTCTCGACCTCCCAGGCTCAAGCGATCCTCCTGCCTCAGACTCCCAAAGTGCCAGGATTGCAGGTATGAGCCACTATGCCCAGCCCATTTTTGAAATAACATATGGAAAGCAGAGTTATGTTAGCAAAAATTCTTAAATTTGTAATGCCAACATTTCAGCAATTCTTTAGCTGGGGAAAAAAAGAAGTACTAATAGTGCAAATTCTTGGTTAAATAATTTTAACTAGCAATAAATTATCATTGTATAATATTTGAAAAAAGAAGGGAATGTTAAAAGACAATAATCCTGCCCAGAGACATCGTACAAAATTTTAGCAGCTGGATAGAAGTATTGCTGTTTTGCAGTGAGCCTAAGGGATTATTTGGTCCAGTTCCCATCTTCGGTAGCGAAGGCATTTTTTATCCAGTAAGGTTAAGTGACTTATCCAGATTGCGTGGCCACTAAATGGTGGAGAGAAGACAAGAACCTCAGTCTCTTGCTTCTCCACGTACTTTACCTTTCTGTGCTTGACAACATCCTTTTAACTTCTGTACAGAGAGGGGACCCAGCCTGCTGGAGGAAAGGCCCAAGAGAAGTCGCTGATCCCAGCTAAGGGAAGTAGACATGTAAGCCCCAAAGAGAATGCTTGCAATTTACAGACTAGCCAGAAATTTACAGCTTTTATCAAACGCATTCAAATACGTTTGAAAAACAAGAACGTCCACAGTCCGGATGGGTGATCATGAGTTATATCAGCCCATCTGCGTGATCATCACACTTCTGATATGACTCATTGTCACTTCAGAAAGTATTTGTTATGGTTTGAATTTCTGCATCTGTTTCTGGAAGTTGTAGGGGGAAAAGTTGAATTAACTTTGAATTATCAATACTACTGCAGAAAACTAAAAAATGATTTGCATTTATTTTATCTTATTTTTATTTTTGAGACAGGGTCTCACTCTCTCACCCAGGCAGGAATGTAGTGGTGCCATCACAACTCATGCAGCCTCAACCTCCTGGGCTCAAGCAATCCTCCCACTTCAGCCTCCTGAGTAACTGGGGCAACAGGCACGCACCATCACGTCAGGCTAATTTTTTTTTTTTTAAGAGATGTGGTCTCACTATGTTGCCCAGGCTTGTCTCGAAGTCCTGGGCTCAAGCAATCCTCCCATTTTGGCCTCCCAAAGTGCTGGGATTACAGGTGTGAGCCACTGTACCCAGCCAAGGTTTGTGATATTTTAAAACAAGGGCTAATACAAATTACTTGTAAAACAAGTCTCAAGTATATTTTTAAATTCTAGATTGGTTTTCTCCTTTATTCCCCAATCCTAGTGCCACTTCCAAGGCTACATATACTCACAGAATTAAAATAATTATAATATCCATCTAAAGAATATTTTTAATAGCATGACTATCTTGCCACATTCAGACACAAACAAGCTTATTACACATCTTTAATTTTATTACTTAAGTGCTCACTTGCCCAGAATTGCCCCCAAGAATTCTGGAAGTTTTTCCAAGAGGAGAGAAAACTGTGAATCTGATCAGTCCTGACTTTCATTTTCATTGTTTAATGCTGCTGCCAGATAGTTTCTTGAAGACCCTGTGTCATTGTCTACTCTGGTTTCCAATGATCCTACTGCTCAGACCGTGAAGTTTCTTAAAAGGAGAAAGATCCCTCTCTCTGTGGTACTTCACAGCAGGGCCCTTATGACTATAGTTCTTTTATTTGCATTCACCTACTCAGTGCCCTAAGCCCATGCAGACTAGCAGAAGCAGGAGCAATTTCCAGCCTCATCCAAAGGTTGCCCTGAAACCAACAAGCAAGGTCCTATGTTGATCCTGGCCACAAGCCCAGACAATCCCTTCCTGATATGAGTTCTGTCTTGGAAATTCCTGGTATCCATGCAAGCCAGCCTCAGACATTAGTCAGCACCACCTCAGTTCTCAAAGCAGTTCTTCAATAACAGAAACAGTAATGACATTAATACTTAAAAGCCTGTTCTAAGTACTTTGTTCATTTAATTCTCATAGGAATCCTTTCAACTTTTGCCACATTTTTCTGATGAAGGAATGGAGCTATCAAGAGATTAGGTAGCATAGCTTGTAACTGGCGGGAGGATTTGAACCTAGGAAGGCGGACTCCAGAGCCGGTACTTGTAACCACAGCTCCCTTAAATTCCAAAGGGAAGAGATTGAGGTCTCTGTTTCCTTGGAGGTTCCCGGAGCCCTGTGTAAGAATGTCCCTCCTGTCTACTTCCCCAAACCCAATACTTTAAAGATTATAGAGCAGAGACTTTGTCAAACAACAAATAGTATTGCATGATCCACTCCACAGAGCAGTTAGGCACCTCCGTGTCTGGGTAGACAGAGGCCACACAAGTGATCCTTCCAAGAATGAAAAATAAAAGTCACTGTCAAAGGTGATTTTTGGTCTCCATCTGAGTGAGAAGTGTCTAGAAACTTTTAAAACAATGGTTTAGGTTTTTTTGTTTGTTTGTTTTTTGTGGGGTTTTTTTTTTTTTTTGAGATAGAGTCTTGCTCTGTTGCTCAGCAGGTTAGAGTGCAGTGGCACAATCTTGGCTCACTGATGTAACCTTTGCCTCCTGGGTTCAAGCCTTTCTCCTGCCTCAGCCTCCCAAGTAGCTGGGATTACAGGCATGACCCACCACACTTGGCTAATTTTTGCATTTTTAGCAGAGACGGGGTTTACATCATGTTGGCCAGGCTGGTCTCAATCTTCTGACCTCAAGTGATCCTCCCACCTCGGCCTCCCAAAGTGCTGGGATTACAGGCATGAGCCACTGCACCCGACCCAAAACAATGGTTTTTAATATGGCAATCATAAAACTTGCATCAGGGGGAAATGACATCTTTATTTTCACTATCTGTTCACTGAAATCTAGCATTTTCTTCACTTATAAATATTGGTAACAAACTGTAACAGTATTAGCAATACCTGTGGTTTTATGACCACTTGAAATCACATATATTTTCATATCACAGCAATTTGCAGATATGTCAGAAGATCACTTCTACCTACTCACTACTTTGAAATTCTGCTAGTCACAAGACTAACATAACTAAATCTTATGTTCAGATGCCAATAAAGAAGCACCTATATTGCTACATTGCAAATACATTTTTAATAGTTTGGTAACTACATTTCTTTTTTTTTTTTTTTTTTGAGTTGGAGTCTCGCTTTGTTGCCCAGGCTGGAGTGCAGTGGAATGATCTCGGCTCACTGCAAGCTCCGCATCCCAGGTTCAAACTATTCTCCTGCCTTAGCCTCCGCAGTAGCTGAGATTACAGGCACCCGCCACTATGCCTGGCTAATTTTTTGTATTTTTAGTAGGGATGGGGTTTCACCATGTTGGTCAGGCTGGTCTCAAACTCCTGACCTTGTGATTCCCTTGCCTCAGCCTCCCAAAGTGCTGGCATTACAGGCGTGAGCCACCACGCCCAGCTGGTAACTACATTTCAATAGAATTGGTGTGCTTTGTAATCCTATGTATCCTGTTTAATGCATTTTAAAACATCATTCTGAGAAGAGATCCATAGGCACAAAGATATTCAGATCCCTGTTTAAAATGGATTTCTCTCTCATGCTCCAGAGCTTTAATCCCTTTCGAACAATCTCTGTGTGTCTCATAGGCGTTGGTTTCATTCATTCAACACAGCAGTTCCTGTCTTCCATCTCGAAGGTCAGCTCTAGACCCTCCCAGAGAGCCCAGAAACAGCGGATCAAATTTGGAGGTCCTGCCACAGAAAGTTCTATTACCTGGGCTTAGAAATCAAGCCAAAACATAGCTTTCTTTGAGGGGAGAGGAGGAACTGGACAGGGCAGGTGTGTTTTCTGGGCCTCTGGAGAAGACAGGAGGACATATAGACCAGCGCTCCCTGGCCTATCTGGGTGTGGAGGGAAGACACCAAGCTGAGCAGAGGAGACCGGTGCCTTTCCAGCAGGCACCGCTGAAATGTAGTGGGCATCATGTCATGTCACGTGTGGCTGCACGACAGGCCATAGAATGCCATGGTTAAGACCACGGACTCTTGAACTTTACCACCTGGGTTGGTTTTCTACCTCCACCACCTCCTAGCTATAGATCTCAGCCATGCTGCATAGCTTCTCTATGCGTCAGTTTTCTCATGCATAAAATGGGAACAACTGTGCTCACTTCATCGAGTTGTTAACTACAGATTCAAAGCATTATACATGTAAAGTGCCTAGCACTTAGTAAGCGCTCCAAAAGAGTACTCTGACTACAATCTCTCCCTTTGCCAGTACTACGATCAGTATTATTATTTATAGTTTTCCCCATCATTAGGAGGATGCACAGGGTTGGCCGATAAGGTGTTTCAATGTAATCTACCAAGTACTTCAGTTCGTCACCATTTAGGGTTGTGCATATTATGACTCCTGACTATTAGGTGGCTGTATCAGTCAGGGGTTTCCAGAGGAACAGAACCAATAGCATGTGTGTATCTACATGGGAGATGGAAGGAGGTTTATTTTAAGGAATTGGCTCATGGGATTATAGGAACTGGCAAGTCTGAATTCTGCTGAGTAGGCCAGCAGGTAGAGATCTATGGAGAAGCTGATGTTGCAGCTCAAGTCCAAAGGCAGTCAAGAGGCAGAATTCTCTCTTGCCCAGGACACTGCAGCCTTTCTTCTCTTCCGGACTTCATCTGATTGCATGAAGCCCGCCCACATGATGGAGGGTATCTAATCCATTCTGACTGCTACAACAAATTATCATAGCCGGAGTAAGAGAGTCTGTAATAAACAACCACCAACATTTATTTCTCACAGTTCTGGGGGCTGGGAAGTCCAAGATCAAGCTGTTGAGAGGGCTGGCGTCTGCTTCTTGTTGTGCAGACGGTTGCCGTCTCGTTGTATCTTCTCATGGTGGAGAGCAGAGAGAGACATTTTGTGTCTCCTCCTCTTTTTTGTTTTTTTGTTTTTGTTTTTGAAACAGAGTCTGCCTCTGTTGCCCAGGCTGGAGCGCAGTGGCACGATCTCAGCTCACGGCAACCTCTGCCTTCCCAGTTCAAGCAATTCTCCTGCCTCAGCCTCCTCAGTAGTTGGAATTATAGGCACCTGCCACCACACCCAGATAATTTTTGTATTTTTAGTAGAGATGAGGTTTCACTGTGTTGGCCAGGCTGGTCTTGAACTCCTGACCTTGTGATCTGCTGGCCTCGGTCTCCCAAAGTGCTGGGATTACAAGCATGAGCCACTGCACCTGGCCTCCCTTCCTCTTTTTATAAGGGCTCTAATCCCATTCATGGGGGTGCCTCTCTCATGACCTAATCATCTCCCCCAGGCCACACCTCTGAATACCATCACAGTGGGGACTGAGGTATCAACATATGAATTTGTGGGGGGGGCAAACACTCGTTCTCTAGCAGAGGGTAATCTGCATTCTTCAAATCTACTGATTTAATCACACCTTAAAAAATACCTTCACGGCAAGATCCAGACTGGTGTTTGAGCAAATATCTGACTACCATGGCCTAGCCAAGTTGATACATAAAATTAACTGTCGCAGAGCCATGATCACAATGGATTTATCATAGACAAATGCTACTTTTTGCTCTGCTGATGAAAATCCATCTTCACCAAGGCCTAACAGTTGTAGACGAGGACAGAGCCATCTACCAGATAGGTCGCCAATTCTGATGAGACAACATGTTTCTGCAGAGAGCACACTGAAATCTCTGAGAACTGTGTTTCACTACCTAAGTCAGGGCCTTGAATTCAAACAGTTGAAATTCTGCTTTCTCTTCTCCATACTGGAATTTCCCAAGAATGGGAGTCATGCATGTAACCACCGACCACAGAGCCAGGACAGTCCTGTGGCCATTACAAAGCAGCACATCTATTTAATATTATTTCACTGGAAACCAGGTTACAAACAAGTCCAGGACGGAATCCTCTCACTGATTCATGAAGTGTTTCTCAGGATGAAATGCATCTTTGCGGGTAATTTGATGGCTCGTCCACTGAATGCCTGCTTGGAGAAGGAGGAATCTCCCAGTTATGAAGAAATGCCCGCCTCTTCTTCCACTGGGCTGTGGGGACCTAGCCAAGATGCAATTTCCAGAGACAAACAATAGAATTGAAATAAATATAATGGTAATTCAGCAAATACTATTTTTGTCCTTTTGCAGGTTGATCATAGTGGTAGCTACAGCGGTATGCCTCTCAGATTTCCTTCCAGAGAGTCTACTGCAGGGAGTCTCTACTCGCCGCCCCCTGGGATCCATCATGACATTCATTCTGAGGACAAGAGTCCTCTGTGTTGCTTCCACAGTGGGGATACCAGAGCTGGCCTGTGCGGGACTCCTCCAACAGGTGCCCTTGCTTGGGGCTCTCCTCAGCCTGGTCAAGTCTCTCAGAGCTGTGCTGCAATCTGGGGCCAGCGCAGGGGCTCACACCTGTAATCCCAGCACTTTGGGAGGCCAAGGTGGGTGGATCACTTGAGGTCAGGAGTTCGAGAGCAGCCTGAGCAATATGGTGAAACTCCCTGTCTACTAAAAATACAAAAAATTAGCTGGGTATGGTGGCATGCGACTGTAATCCCAGCTACTGGAGAGGCTGAGGCAGGGGAATTGCTTAAGCCCAGGAGGCAGGTGCAGTGAACCGAGATTGCGCCGCTGCATGCCAGCACCTGGGTGACAGAGCAAGACTCTGTCAAAATCAAAAAAAAAAAAAAAAAGAGAACTGTGCTGCAATCCGAAGCTCTTCCTAACCAACCAGCCCTACCTCCCTTCCTTCCTCCTTTCTCTCTTTTCACAGGTATCAGACCTACGTTACCATCTGAAGCTCTCTCCATCCCCTTCTATTCCCTCTCCCTGTATCCTTCACAGAAGTTTCACACAATAAATCTATTGCATATCTACACTCATTGTGGTACCTGCTTTCCTGAACTGACCCAACCTACTCTGTTCTGTTGCTTTTATATTGATGTACAGAGAATAACTGCTGTTGTGACATCCCTTGTTAGCTGTAACTAGGAGAATCACGCATCCTGATTTGCCCAAGCTAATCCCAGATTACATTTTCTATCAAGCATAATTATTAACAGCCCCCTGCATACTCTCAAAGTCTCCCACTTTGGATAAAAAAATATTGTTAGCCCAGCTTTAGGCTATATCCAAAGATTAGTCTCATAAAATGTTTCCCAAAGTGTATTTTGTGGACCATAACTCAGAAAATGCTCTAGGAAAAAGAGCTCGCTGGACAAATAAACTTGGGAAATACTCTTGTGAATTCACCACTCACATTAGTGTGTTCAAATCTTGGACTAAATCTTAGAGTAGTAAATCCTGCAGTAGAAAATCTTGTTTAACTTTGTTGTTACTCAGTGTTTGGTAAGCTTATTTAACTGCAAGACTTTTTTTGTCTTGAATCCATAATACCATCGAGTGAAGCACTACCAAGACTGAATTCTCTCTACTCGCTCAAAGTATCAGAGGTTTCAGAGTCTGAATTCTCTCTACTCGCTCAAAGTATCAGAGGTTTCGGAGTCTGAATTCTCTCTACTCGCTCAAAGTATCAGAGGTTTCAGAGTCTGAATTCTCTCTACTCGCTCAAAGTATCAGAGGTTTCGGAGTCTGAATTCTCTCTACTCGCTCAAAGTATCAGAGGTTTCGGAGTCTGAATTCTCTCTACTTGCTCAAAGTATCAGAGGTTTCAGAGTCTGAATTCTCTCTACTCGCTCAAAGTATCAGAGGTTTCGGAGTGCAGCAGCTTGTTCACTTAGAGGTCCTGGCTTGACCTGTCTGTCCTGGCAACAGACAACTGGGCCCCAGTCTGTTCTGGCTCTGGATTCACCTCTGAGAGCAATTCACATTGGCAACTGTGATCCACAAAGTCATGTGGGCCCTTGGTTAAGTGAGGTCATTTGGATTTGAATGTTGCTTTTAACGGCTTCTAATTTTGCCCATAAAATGTTTCAATCATAAAAATCCTTATTTTTAGTACCAAATTGGAAATGTCGTCAACAAATCACTTCATCTACAGTCACTGAGGTGATTTCAAAGAGCCCCTTCCGTCTGGCCAGTTCTCTTGCTCTCAGCCCTGCCAAGACCACACCATAAACCCAATTTTTTAATTTGGAATGCTAGAGTTGGCTGCAACCAAATTTAGTGTGCACTTTCAGCTCACTCAATCTCTTGGTTTCCCCTCTTACATTATGTACATGTATATCTGTCCTCCCCAACTAGATGTAGGTATTTTAAGGGTACACATGTACCACAGGCATCAACATACCACCTACATGGTAGGGTTTGAATGTAAATGTTCCCCCACATTCAACTGTTGGAACTTAAAGCCCAGTATGATAGTATTAAAAGGTGGGACCTTTTGGAAGTGATTAAGTCACGAGGGCTTCCGGCCTCATGAAAGGGATTCATGTCCTTATGAAAGAGGTTTCCGAGAGGGCCTCGCCCTTCTATGTCTTCCGCTGTGTGAAGGCACTACATTTGTCCCTTTTTCCCTTCCATCTCTTCTACTATTTGAAAACATTGCATTTGTTCCCTCTGAAGGATGCAGCAACAAGGCGCCATCTTGGAAGCAGAGAGCGAGGCCTTGCCGGACACTGAATCTGCTAGCACCTAGATCTTGGACTTCCTAGGTTCCAGAAATGTAAGCAATAAGTTTCTATTATTTATAAATTACCTAAGTCTAAGGTATTTTGTCATAGCAGCAGAAATGGACTAAGACATGACATATTTTGGGAAAATGGTTTTGTCTAGTGCTTTGTTGAAAGAAAGAATGCAAAGGAGAGAGGAAGGGGGAGAGAGAAGGGGGTGTGAAAAGGAGGCCAAGGGAGGGAGAAAGAGAGGAAGGAGGGAACAAAGGAAGGGAGGAAATGAGGAAGGGAGGAAGGAGGGAAGGAGGGAGGGAAGGAGGAAGGGAGGGATGGAGGAAGAAAGGAAGGAAGGAAGGCAGAAAGGGAGGGAGGGAAGGAGGGAGGGAGGAAGGGAAGGGAGGGAAGGAAGAAAGGCTTTTACCAGCACAAAAGAAAACTATAAAAGATGGCCTTATGTTTGTACTGAAAAGACTAACTTGATAACTTGATATTTGGTCAAAATAGTGTTTATGTTCTGTTGACACCCTAACATGTTTTACACATTACAGTTAAAATATATTCCTTTAAGTGTTCATAAGGTTAGGAGCCCAGGGAAACAAAAGAAATGAATGAAGTGCAAGGGTCTACTGTGCTTTTCATTAAAGAAACCCTGATTCAATTTATTTCAGCTTTATGTTATCTTTTTCCATCTTCCAACTGACTGAATTAGTTAGTAACTTAATTATGAATTAAACTGAAGGCTATCTTGAGTACTCTTGATATGCAGGAAAGAACAAGAGCCTAAATAATATATATATTTTAAATCCTTAGGTAAGGATATAGTTCTCTTGCTGCTCTGTAAATACCATGACCCTTATTTTTAAAATGTAATACCATATTCCCTGACTGGAAAGAAACATAATGGTCCATTATATTATCATTATATTTTTTATTCTGGGTCCTAAATCATTCAATGAGATAAAACAAAATGCCCCATTAATGTTAACTATTGATCTATTCAAATATAAATTTTAAAAACTAAAGGACTTGTTCAGTTCCTATCATCACTTTCAATTTTCTGCCTTTAAAAATTGGGGGAGTCTGGGCATGGTGACGCATACCTGTAATCCCAGCACTATGGGAGGCTGAGGTGGGAGGATTGCTTGAGCTCAGGAATTTGAGACCAGCCTGGGCAACATAGTGAGACCTCGTCTCTACTAAAAATAAAAATTTTTAAAAATGGGGGAAATTATTTAATGTAATAAAGTACCATTTTTATACATTTCTGATTATATTTAAAAGGAAATATCCTAAACAACATATTGTTTATGTAGACTCAACTAAATCCAATTATTATTATTTTTTAATCAGAAAGCAAGAAATTTAAAATTAGCCAGGTGTGGTGGCTGGTGCCTGTAATCCCAGCTACTTGGGAGGCTGAGGCAGGAAAATCGCTTGAACCCAGGAGATGGAGGTTGCAGTGAGCAAAGATCGCGTCATTGCACTCCAGCCTGGGCAACAAGAGTGAAACTAAGACAAAAAAAAAAAAAAAGAAAGAAAGAAAAAAAGAAGAAAGAAAGAAAGAAAGAAAGAAAGAAAGAAAGAAAGAAAGAAAGAAAGAAAGAGAAAGAAAGAAAGAAAGAAAGAATTTTAACCACCAGTTTGAAATGGTTTTTGTCTAGTAACTTCTGGTATAGCATTTTGAACTTCCATTAAAATATGGTATGCAACAACAGAAAAAAAAAAAAAAAGTACCACCAGGAAAATCTAGTATTGGGGATCATTTCAACTTAATATAAGTCCAAGAGAATTGCAAACAAAATGAGCCTGACTAACTGAAGAGAATAGGGAAAGACTCTCTTCCTGCTCCAGTATTATTTTCCAGGTCTGATATATAAGACCTGGGCCATGGAGAAGACTGAGCAGCTGTTCCTGTTCTGCATGTGTAGACTTTTGAGATACTCATGATGCTATCAGTCTTTGCTCACCTTCACTGCACCTCTTCAACCAGCTCCTTTCTTTCTAAATCCATTTGGAGGCTGCAATCACCATAAAATAAATTGAGCAGAAAAGTCAGTGGAGGTCTGGAAGTAATGCTTTTAGTTCCAAAAAATTAGTCTGCCCAGATTCAATCAAAGACAAAACATTTTATACAGCAACAGCTCAGCCCACGCTCCTCACTCTACACTGTCTACTTAATATTGCTCTCCTTGCATGTCCTGCTGACATAGTGAGTCCAGAGTGGACTCACAATCTTCCTCCTAGAACACACACGCTCTCTCCCAACAAAAGGCACTGTCATTCACCCAGTTAATTATCCTACAAGTTGCCGGTAGTTCTTACTCCTCCTTCTCCCTCATTCATATCCAAATCTGTCATTTCTGCCTCTTACTCATTTGTCAAAAGCATTCATTACTCCCCATCACCACACTACTTCCAGCCTTCACCCTCTCTTCTTTTTAGGAGTAGTTGTATGATGGTACCTCTTTTAAATTTTATTTTATTTTGTTGAGACAGGGCCTCACTCTGTTGCCCAGGCTGGAATACAGTGGTGCAATCTCGGTTCACTGCAATCTCCACCTCCAAGGTTCAAGAGATTCTCCTGCTTCAGCCTCCCAAGTAGCTGGGATTACAGGCATGCACCACCACGTGCAGCTAATTTTTGTATTTTTAGTAGAGACGAGGTTTCACCATGTTGGCCACGCTGGTCTCAAACGCCTGGCATCAAGGGATCCGCCCACCTTAGTTCCCAAAGTGCTGGGATTATAGGCGAGAGGTGTGGTTACTTTTTTTTTTTAATTTTACTTTAAATTCTGGGATACATGTGCAGAATGTATAGGTTTCTTACATAGGTATACATGTGCCTTGGTGGTTTGCTGCACCTACCAACCCATCATCTAGGTTTCAAGCCCCACGTGCATTAGGTATTTTATTTGACCTAATGCTCTCCCTCCCCTTGACCCCTACCCACTGATGGGCCCCAGTGTGTGCTGTCCCCTCCCTGTGTCTATGTTTTCTCATTGTTCAACTCACACTTATGAGTGAGAACATGCGGTGTTTGGTTTTCTGTTCCTGTGCTAGTTTGCTGAGGATCATGGCTTCTAGCTTCATGCATGTCCCTGCAAAAGACATGATCTCATTCTTTTTTATGGCTGCATAGTATTCCATGGTATATATGTACCAGATTTTCTTTATCCAGTCTATCATTGATGGGCATTTGGGTTGGTTCCAAGTCTTTGCTATTGTAAATAGTGCTGCAATAAACATACGAGTGCATGTGTCTTTACAGTACAATGATTTATATTCCTTTGGGTATATACACAGTGATGGGATTGCTGGGTCAAATGGTATTTCTGGTTCTAGATCCTTGAGGAATCGCCACACTGTCTTCCACAATGGTTAAACTAATTTATTTTCCCACCAACAGTGTAAAAGTGTTCCTGTTTCTCCACAGCCTCGCCAGCATCTATTTCTTGACTTTTTAATAATTTCCATTCTGACTGGCATGAGATAGTATCTCACTGTAGTTTTGGTTTGCATTTCTCTAATGATCAGTGATGATGAGCTTTTTTTCATATGTTTGTTGGCCGCATAAATGCCTTCTTTTGAGAAGTGTCTGTTCATATCCTTTGCCCACTTTTTGATGGGGTTGTTTTTTTCTTGTAAATTTGCTTAAGTTCCTTGTAGATTCTGGATATTAGACCTTTGTAAGATGGATAGATTGCAAAAATTTTCTCCCATTCTGTAGGTTGCCTGTTCACTCTGATGCTAGTTTCTTTTGCTGTGCAGCAGCTCTTTAGTTAGATGCCATTCGTCAATTTTGGCTTTTGTTGCTGTTGTTTTGGTATTTTAGTCATGAAGTCTTTGCCCATGCCTCTGTCCTGAATGACATTGCCTAGGTTTTCTTCTAGGGTTTTTATGGTTTTGGGTTTTACATTTAAGTCTTTAATCCATCTTGAGTTAATTATTATACAAGGTGTAACCACAGTTACTTTTGTGTATCCACTTGCCTGGGTCACAGGGTGCCCAGATATTTGGTCAAACAACTCTGGGTATCTCTGTGAGGGTGATTCCGGGTGAGATTAATGTTTCAATAGGCATATTGACCAAAGCAGATTGCCCTGCCTCATGTGGGTGGACCTCATCCAATCAGTTGAAGGCTTGAATAGAACAAAAAGTCCAACCGTCTTGTGAGTAAGAGAGAATTCCTCCTGCCTGAATGCCCTAGATAGGACATCAGTCTTTTCCTGCATTAGGACTCAAACTGAAACCTCAGCTTTCCTTGGATCTTAAGCCTGCTGGCCTTTGGCCTGGAACTTACACCATTGGTTTTCATGGTTCTTGGGCTTTCGGACTCAGACTGGAGCTACATGCCTCCCCACCCTGTCCCATTTTCCACAGAGCATCCGGGGTGATCTCAAACTACACATCTGATCATGGCACCACCCTGCCTAAAATCCTCTAAAGGCTTTTTATTCATCTTAGGAAAATACCCCAAATCCTCAACAAAGGCTGCATGGTCTGCCCAATGGGGCCCCTGCACTTAGCTTTAGCCACTGTAGGCTTCTTTTTATCCAAATGCCCTAAACTCTTTCCTGTCTCTGTGGCTTTGTACATTCAGTTTCCCTGCCTGAAATAGTTTTTCTTCCACCGTTTATGATGCTAACTCTAATTCATCCTTTATTGCCTCCACTTGAGGAAATTTCCACAAGTTTCCCAACCTGCAATTCTAGAACAATGGTACCATTATATGTCACACCCTGCATTTTCCTCCGCGACCATGCGTGTTGCTAAAGGTTGCTTATGTAATGGTTTGTTTGATGTTTATTCCACCACTGCTCTGCAATTCCATGCCCGTGGGGGTATCTGCAATGCTTGCGGGAATTGCACATAGGAAGCCTTCTAACAATATTTGTTGACAAAAATGAATGAATATGTTATTTGCAATAAACCTATATAAATAGAGTTCTTTTTTTTTTTTTTCTTTTGAGATGGAGTCTTGTACTGTCACCCAGGCTGGAGTGCAGTGGTGCAATCTCGGCTCATTGCATCCTCCGCCTCCCGGGTTCAAGCAATTCTCCTGCCTCAGCCCCCGAGTAGCTGAGATTACAGGCGACTGCCACCATTCCTGGCTAATTTTTTTTTTTTTTTTTTTTGTATTTTTAGTACAGACGGGGTTTCACCATGTTGGTCAGGCTAATCTCGAACTCCTGACCTTGTGATCTGCCCACCTTGGCCTCCCAAAGTGCTGTGATTAGAGGCGTGAGCCACCATGCCCGGTCAAACCTATATAAATAAAATAACATGAGTAAATATGAAAGCATGGACAAACACAGTCTTTTTTGTAAAAAAATAAAGGCAAAACCATTTAAGTACCAGAACATACTCCAAACTGCTATGCCTCTTCCTTAATATCAGAGAATTTGTATGTTTAAATTTAGTTTGTGAAAGCGAAATACTTTATTTTAAAAACCTGAATTAGCATTTTAATACATAATAATATGTGTTCTCTAATAACTAGGTTGCAATATAAAAACGATTTAATTTCTTCATATAATATAATGGGTGCCAGTGGGATTGTGTAAGGGAGATGGAGGTACCTGTGGAACTAGGAAGGAGAGAGAGACAGTAAGTAAGTAAGGGAAATATCAGCAGAAGTAATAAAGCGCGATCCTCAAGTGCTTCTAGAAAACTCAAGGGAGATGTCAGCACAGGGTCTCAGAGCTGACTGGGTAGGTTTGAAGCTGGACTGTGCTATCAGTTTAGGGGCATGAATTCATGAAATAAGATCTTTAATATCACTAAATTTGTACTCAGAGTCATGGGGAAATTTGGATTCCATATGTAAAATACCTGGCACATTATGGCTGAATAAATTTTAGTTTAATCACTTTTGGTTTTATTTTTTGTGTTTTGTTGTTATTGATGTTTTGTCAATTAAAAACAAAACAAAAATGACTTAGTTTAGGTTAAATTTCATTTACAGTGTATTAAAATGATGCTTCCTTTACAGCTCAGATCTGAGTTGTATCATTACGTTTTTTTCCTAAGCATGGGAATATTTTGAGTCATATCTTCCACCCCTAGTGAACATTTTTTTTTCTTTTTTTTTCTGTGATGGAGTCTCACTGTGTCACCCAGGCTGGAGTGCAGTGGTGTGATCTCGGCTCACTGCAGCCCCCACCTCCCAGGTTCAAATGATTCTCCTGCCTCAGCCTCCTGAGAAGCTGGGATTACAGGCATGTGCCACTGAGTCCAGCTAATTTTTGTATTTTTAGTAGAGACGGGGTTTTGCCATGTTGGCCAGGCTGGTCTCGAACTCCTGACCTCAAGTGATAGTTGGATCACTTTTGAATGACCTCAATGATTCAATTCTTTTTACTGGAGAAGGCTAATAAGCCAGACATCTGCACCTAAGTTCCTCTTTATATTGGCTTATATTGGCTAGGTGGATCCTATATATATATAGGATGATTCCTATATATATATATAGGATCCACCTAGATCCTATTTTCAAACTTTACTGTGAGAAAGAGCTAAGAAGTTTGTAGAAATACCAGCTCCAGGGCCTACCGCCGCCCGCAGAGACTTTCATTCAGTGGTTCTGAGATGGGGCACAAAAATCAGGATTTCAGCAAGCTCAAGGAGTTTCTGATGTAGCTGGTCCACTGGCCACAGTTTGAGAAATGCTGATGTTGAACCTGTGAATAGACCTATGGTAACTATACTTTAAAACTACTGCACATGGTTGATATGGTTTGGCTGTGTCCCCACACAAATCTCATCTTGAACAGTAGTTCCCATGATCCCCACATGTCATGGAAGGAACCCAGTGGGAGGTAACTGAATCATGGGGGTGGGTTTTTCCCCATGCTGTTCTCGTGATAGTGGGTAAGTCTCACAAGATCTGATGGTTTTGTAAATGGGTGTTCCCCTGCACAAGCTCTCTTGCCTGCCACCACGTAAGACATGGCTTTGTTCCTCCTTTGCCTTCTGCCGTGATTGTGAGGCCTCCCCAGCCATGTGGAACTGTGAGTCCATTAAACCTCTTTTTCTTTATGTATTACGCAGTCTTGGGTATGTCTTTATTAGCAGCATGAGAACAGACTAATACAATGGGATACTATGGTGTTGAACCATAAATAAATAAATAAGATAGACTTCAAGAAAACACATAAGCCTCTGGGTGGTGAAATTCTTACCAGTCTTAATTTCTTTTGTACTTTTCTATATTCCCTGACTTTTATGTTGAGATGCACTTATTTTTTTAGCTTTTATTTTTAAGTGTAGGGGTACAAGTACAGGTTTGTTACATAGGTAAACTTGTGTCATGGGGGTTTGTTATACAGATTATTTATCACCCACATATCAAGCCTAGTACCCGTTAGTTATCTTTCCTGATCCTCTTCCTCCTTCTACCATCCAACCTCTGATGGGCCCCAGTGTGTGTTGTTCCCCTTTTTGTGTCTGTGTGTTCTCATCATTTAGCTCCCACTTGTAAGTGAGAACATGTGGTATTTGGTTTTCTGTCTGTGTTAGTTTGCTAAGGATAATGGCCTCCAGCTCCATCCATGTCCCTGCAAAGGACATGATGTCATTCCTTTTTATGGCTTCATAGTATTCCATGGTATATATGTACCACACTTTCTTTATCGAGTCTATCATTGATGGGTATTTAGGTTGATTCCATGTCTTTGCTATTGTGAATAGGAGATGCACATTTTTAAAACCAGAAAGAAATGTTTTAAAAATGATTAACAGCTGGACATGGTGGCACATGCCTGTAGTCCCAGCTACTCAGGAGGCTGAGGCAGGAGGATCGCTTAGGCCCTGGAGTTTCAATCTAGCCTGGGCAACATAGCAAGACCCCGTGTCTAAAAATAAATTAATTAGTTAATTAAAAAATAACAATGAGTATACGCTCTCTTGGTTTTAGTCTATGGTTCACTCATACCAGTGGACCAGTATGAAACAGAAAATATTTGAAGGAAATACACTAAAATATTAAAGGTAGAGTAATAGGTTTCGGCGGAGAAAGAGATCCTCTTCTTGCGTTACTTTTTAGCTCTTTACTCACCTTTTTGGTGGAAGAACGTTAACTTTATCTTTAAAATATAATAAGGATGTTTTCTATCCAAAGAGTTATCATCCATTCTCAAACGATTTTATAAAGTGCCTGACAGTTTTGACAGAAGTAATGCCAAGTATCCATCACAATTCCTGCTCAGATACTGAAAATAAAGCAACACAAAACTGGGAAGGCCCTGAAATTGTTTCGATTGAGTCTCAAATGTCCTTCTTTTGTTATGTTCTTTCTCCTGTGCTGGCTTAAGTTCCTCCAGCCTCACCCCACCCCATATTTTCTGGCATAGTCATTTCCTTTTCTTAAATCCCCTGCCCCTATCCAAACAAACACCAAGTATTGCTTCATTTTCATCTTTAAAGTACTCACAAATGTTAACTCAAGGAGTCCCTTGTGCCTAGAGAAAGCCCACCTACACTGACCCCCTTACTTCCATACTTCCTCGCTTTCTTAGGCAGAAATAATGAGGGTCCAGAACTTCAGCCCTCCTGACTCCAGCACTCACAGCCTGCAGCCACTGTCGACCTTGAGACCACAGTACTAATCCCATTTTACCCTTTGCCTCTAGTTCAGTCCCAGCAGCTCCTGACTCCCAGATCACTTCTTATATCTTGCGTTCTAATGATTATTAGATTATAGTTCTGGCCAGACATGATGGCTCATACCTGTAATCCCAGCACTTTGAGAGGCCGAGGTGGGTGGATCACTTGAGGTGAGGAGTTCGAGACCAGCCTGGCCAACATGGTGAAACCTTGTCTCTACTAAAAATACAAAAAACTAGCTAGATGTGGTGGCATGTGCCTATAATCCCAGCTATTTGGGAGGCTGAGGCAGGAGAATCACTTGAATCTGGGAAGTGGAGGTTGAAGTGAGATGAGATGACACCATCATACTCCAGCCTGGATGACAGAGTGAGACTGTCTTAAAAAAAAAAAAGATTACAGTTCTGCCTATGGCTTTTCTGTCCTTCCCTGTAACTGCTCTTTATCTCCCAAAAATCCCCCTCCACTGTGTTCATTGAAACTTATGGTCCATTCATCAGCATAATCCGTTAAACCTCAACTTCTCTCTCAAACCAGTCAGTTTTGCCATGGTGCAACATGATCATTACTAAAACCCACCATGCTATTCAAAATGACCTTATAAAAACCACAGAGTTTATGGAAAAAGTAGCATTGGGGCACAATACTCAAATACTTTGCCAGTGACACCTTAAAAAAATAGTAACCTAATTAAAAGAGCAGCACAGTTTTCCATATGTTAAATGGTTAGGAAGGATATTACAAGAAATACGGCACTTTACCTTGAAAAAGACATGAAGTGTGCCTATGGAAGTGGGTCACAAGGAAATCAAACCAGAACTAAATAACAATACAGTAACCAGGAAACCCCCCAGATAACTGAAAATGATATAGTACACTTCTCAGTAAACCATGGATCAAAGACGAAATCACACTGGAAATTAGAAAATGTTTTGAGCCAAATGATAATAAAAATGATACATCAAAATCTATAGTCTGCAACTAAAGCAGCGCTTAGAAGAAAAGTTATTTAGTTTTAAATGCACATATTAGAAAGAGAATATTCAAAGTCAATGATCTAAACTTTCACTTCAAAAAGCTAGAATCCAAACAGCAAAATAAACCCACAGAAACTAAAGCATGGAAATAATAGATGAAGGAGGAAACTCATGAAATAAAAAAAGACAAAACATGGAGAAAATCAACAAAACCAAAGTTGGTTTTTGGAAAGATTAGTAAAACCAGTAATCCTTAGGAAAAAAAAGAAAGAGAAAAAACACTTATAACAAATATCATGAATGAATAAAAGGACAGCATTCTGGATCCTATGACATTAAGGAAATACTAAGGGCCAATGCCTAATTTAAAGAAAATTCCAGGCCCAGATTTCACTGGTGAATCCTAGTTAACTTTTAAGGAAGACGTAATCACAATAATACACAAGCTTTTTGTGTAAAAAGGGAGACAGAACACAAGCTTTTTGTGTAAAAAGGAAGACAGAACATTTTCCAACTCTTTTTTTTTTTGAAACTGAGTCTCACTCTGTTGCCCAGGCTGTAGTACAGGGGTGTGATCTCAGCTCACTGCAAACTCCACCTCCCAGGTACAAGCAATTCTCATGTCTCAGCTTCCCGAGTAGCTGGGATTACAGGTGTCTGCCACCATGCCCGGCTAATTTTTGTATTTTTAGTAAAGACGAGGTTTCACTACGTTGGCCAGGCTGGTCTCAAACTCCTGACCTCAAGTGATCTGCCTGCCTCGGCCTCCCAAAGTGCTGGGATTACAGGCGTGAGCCACTGTGCCCGGCCTCAACTCATTTTATAAGGCCAATATAACATTGGTGAAAGGACATTACAGGAAAACTACAGACTAAGAGTCCTCATAAATATAAACACAAAAATCCTTAATAAAATATAAACAAGTCAAATTTGGTAATATTATAAAAAGGATAATATGTCAACAAAAAGGACAATTTATTCTAGGATAGAAAAATACTTTAACAGCTATGATTTTAATGGTTCCTCAAAAATTCATGTATTGGAAATTTTACCCCCAATGCAATAGTACTGAGAACTGGGGCCTGATGGGAGGTATTTAGGACATGGTGCTTCCACCCTCATGAATGAATTAATGCTGCTATTAAACGGGCTTGCTGGAGTGGGTTCCCTTTTCCTCACGCTTTCACCTTCCACCCTGAAAGAACAGTGCTTTCATCTTGAACTTCCCAGCCTACAGAACTGGGAGAATAAATTTCTATTCTTTATAAATTACCCAGTCTGTGGTATTCTGTTATAGCAGCACAAATGGACTAACACAATGTAATTCACCACATTAGCAGAATAAAGAGGCAAAACATTCAATTATCTCAGTATCTGAAAATAAAGCTCTAGATAAAAGTCAATACTGGGAAGGTGCGGTGGCTTACGCCTGTAATCCCAGCACTTTGGGAGGCTGAGGCAGGTGGCTCACTTGAGGTCAGGAGTCCGCGACCAGCCTGGCCAACTGGTGGAGGTTGCAGTGAGCCAAGATCCAGCCTCTGCACTCCAGCCTGGGCAACAGAGCAAGACTCTATCTCAAAATAAAAACAAACAGACAAACAAAAAAGTCAATACTGGGTCATAGATAAAAGTCAATTGTCCATCAACAAGAGAATATATAAACTAATTATGCTATATTCACAGGATGGGATACTACTCCATGATACCCACAAACCAATAATAGAGGGAATTTTCTCAACTGGATAAAACGTGGCAACAAAAAACGTGCAGCTACTATCATTCTTAATAATAGACTGTTGAATGTTGTCCTCCTAAGTCAGAAATACAGTAACGATGTCTACTCTTACCACTTCTGTTCAATATTGTACTAGTGGTTGTAGCCAGTGCAATAAGGCACCAAAAAGAGATAATAAAAATTGGAAAGAAATAATTTAGACTGTTATTCAAAGATAACATCGCTTTGTACATAGAAATCCTAAGGAACCAACAAGTTCCTAGAACTAATTTGAGTTTAGCATGATTGTGGGTTACAAGGGCAATGCAGAAAAATCAATTATATCTGTATATACCAACAAAAAACAATTAGAAAATTAAATTTTTTTAAGTTACCACTTAGAATAAATGACATTAAATACTTTTGAGTGGAGAGTACTCAAACCTAAAAATTAAAAACATTGCTGAGATAAAGGAGACATAATAAGAGTGATATACAATCTTCATGGAATGGACTAGCTTAGGGGTATTAAGATTTCAGTTCTCCCTAAACTAATATTTAGATTCAGTGCAAGCCCGGCAGATGTTGGGGTAGGTGGGAGGCAGTGGAATTATATTGCTGATGTGAGTGTAAAATAGTACAACCTCTTTGAAAAAACTGGCAATTGCTGATAAAGTTAAACACAGAGTTACCTGTGACCCACAGATTCTACTCCTAACCAAGGGAAACAGGTAAGTGTGTCCACTAAAAGACTTTTCCAGAAATACTGATTAAAGCTTTATTCATGATAGGTCAAAAGTGGACATAACTCAATTGTCCATCAACAAGAGAATGCATAAACTAATTATGGTCTATTCACACAATGGAATACTATTCAGTGATAAAAAGAACAAACAACAGATACACGTTAGAACATGAATGAGTCGTGAAAATATTATTTATGGTGATTGAAAGAAGCCAGACACAAAAAAAGTACATATTGTAAGATTTCATGTGACGTTCAAGAATATGTAATACTAATCTCTGCTGTTGGAAATCGGAAGAGAAGTTGCATGTAGGGTGTGGGCACTGATGACAAAAGGGCACGAGATAATTTTCTGAGATAATGGAACTATCTTATATTTTGATGTGAATGGAGATCACACTTGTGTCTGTGCGTGTGTGTGTAGACGTATCTCAAGCTGTACACTTAAGATTTATGCATTTTAACATGTATAAATCATACCTCACTAAAGTATTAATATGTATATATATATATATTCTCCCCCTCATTCCCATCTCCCTTCCTGCTCTATTTTTCTTTTTTCACACTTACCCTATTCTGAGTTACTACATTATTTCTTACTTGATTTTTACATTGTCTGTCTTCCCCAGTAGAATGTAAGTTCTCTAAAGACAGGGCTTTGTTTGGTTCATTGCTGGATTTCAGCGATGAGAACATTATCATATATTAGACAGTTAAAAATATTTGTTAAGGAAATGGAAGGCATCCACATTTTATGCCTTATATTTATTTATTTATTTATTTATTTATTTTTGAGATGGAGTTTTGCTCTTCTTGTCCAGGCTAGAGTGCAATGGCACAATCTCGGCTCACTGCAACCTCCGCCTCCTTGGTTCAAGCATTTCTCCTGCCTCAGCCTCCCAAGTAGCTGGGATTACAGGCGTGTGCCACCACGCCTGGCTAACTTTTGTATTTTTTTAATAGAGACGGGGTTTCACCATGTTGGATAGGCTGGTCTCGAACTCCTGACCGCATGTGATGCACCCACCTCGGCCTCCCAAAGTGCTGGGATTACAGGTGTGAGCCACTGCGCCCGGCCATATGCCTTATGGTTCTGATTGTGTAATTAAAAGCTTTCTTTCCCGTTAAAGGAATGGCCAACAAATGGAAGAAACAATGGCTTTCCTCTCACTCCTGAAACCAAAATGGTGCTGAAGGTAGACTCTTTCAATTCACATAGGCAGCCACTCTCTGAACAAAACAAGGACTCGGAATCACAGAGTCACCACTAATCCTCTTCTACTTTTCTCTTTTCTATAATACTTCTTCTTCCTCTTGTCACTTTATCACTAAACTCAAACGCTGAGTCTTTCAGCAGTGGCATACTTAGCATATTTGACATCAACAGCATATCATTGTTAGCCCACCCACCCCCAAGAGGCCAAAATTATTTTTAGTAATAGCCGTGCAATGAAATAAATCATAATAATGGCCAGAAAATAAACACAGTGAAAATTGATTTTAACTCTCTCTGTATGATTATGCCAGAAAAAACATTGTTAATAAAATTAAAATTAATATTATGATACAAAAAAAGAAAAAGGTAATGAATTAATTCTTTTTAATTGGATTTATATTTTTATCTTGAAAATGAGGGGAAACATTTTTATCTATGTTCAATCTCAGTAATGAACAATAACGTGTTCTATTTTAAAGTCTAAATGACTTCATCAAAACTGGTCTTTTCTGGCCAGGTGCAGTGGCTCACGCCTGTAATCCCAGCACTTTGGGAGGCTGAGGTGGGCAGATCACTGGAGGTCAGGAGTTTGAGACCAGCCTGGCCAACATGGCGAAACCTGGTCTCTACTAAAAATACAAAAATTAGCCAGGCATGGTGGCGGGCACCTGTAATCCCAGCTACCCGGGAGGCTGAAGCGGGAGAATGGCGTGAACCCAGGAGGCAGAGGTTGCAGTGAGTCAAGATCGCACAACTGCACTCCAGCCTGGGCAACAGAGCAAGATTCTCCATCTCAAAAACAAAAAAACCTGATCTTTTCTGTATATATGGTCATGCAACAGTGGGCTGAGTCTCTCAATCTAGGTATGTATGCTCACCGATGACCAAAGTACACTTCATTCACTTTCGTTTGAAAGCCTTTGTTTCCCACAAAGCCACAGATACATGAATAGTTTGGAAAAGTTTTAAAGACAAAGATAAGTTTGGCAGAGATTTTACAATAAATCCCAGAACTTGCAATAATGTCTATGTGTTTATTTCTTCAGGATAAATTCTAGCAGGTGTCAGATGTACCCACAGTCAAGAAATCTTAAACAAAATTAAAAATGTCAAGTGGTCACATAGAATGACAGATTGAAGCAATTCAATTTCTGGTTTCTTTGTCTTTACAATCTCTGTGCTGTCTTTTTAAATTTTTAATCCACTGTTTAAACACAGGGATGCATATGAGTATCACAGGTTTTGGAGGCCTAAACCACGCCTGAAGTGAGTGCCAATGATTCTAAACCATGACAAACTGAGTCTCAAAGCAATCATTGTGTAGCTGAGTCCACGTGCATCTTAGTCTGTGTGCGGTTATGTAACTGGACATTCTCCAAGTTAACTTCTATGTAGACTTCAGTGTGTATGAAAACAGAAGCTAAAATGTTCTTATTTGAGACATACATATATAGCACTAAAATTCAGCAGGAAACCGTGGTTGTTCAGAATCTAAAACAATAAAAAAAGAGGGGGTGGGATATTTTATCAATTTTACATAAAATTGCTGCTCCACGGTGATGATAAAAAGCCAAACCCCTTTCAGTCACTTTTCTCCTTGCTTTCCACTTCTCTACAGACAATGCATCCTCTTAGTGCCTGTTCCCAGGGCTGACTGGTCCCACTGCCCTGCCCCTGGGGTGCTACTGAACTTCAGAGAAAATTTTTACAGTGTCCTGTCAAAGTTAAATAAAAATATACAGATGAGGCTGGGCACAATGGCTCACAGCTGTAATCCCAGCACTTTGATAGGCCGAGGCAGGCAGATCACCTGAGATCAGGAGTTTGAGACCAGCCTGGCCAACATGGTGAAACCCCATCTCTACTAAAAATACATAAATGAGCCAGGCATGGTGGTGGGTGCCTGTAATCCCAGCTACTTGGGAGGCTGAGGCAGAATTGCTTGAACCCGGGAGGCAGAGCTTGCAGTGAGCCAGGATCACGCCACTGCACTCCAGCCTGAGTGACAGAGTGAGACTCCATCTCAAAAAAAAAAAAGCGTATATATGTATAATATATATATGTATTCATCTGTATATATTCATCTGTATATATATGTATACATATATATGTATACATATATATGTATATACATATATATGTATATACATATAGACATACACATATACATATACACACACACACACAGATGATTCTCTAAACAAAACATCTTGTTTGGGAAAACAGAATTGCAATTGAGGGCATACACAGAGACGGAGGAGGTCTTCAGTATGCTTGAAGAACAAAGGGAAGATTGGAGGTTTTATGAGAAAGTTCAGTGTTAGGTATTGTTTTGGAAGAAAGCTCATTGGCACTAGAGCTTTGAGGAGCTGGCAAGCCCTGACTGGTGAGTGACGACAATAGGTAAAACTAGTCTTAGGGTGGTCATGGCAGGTCGTTTCAGCAGCTACCAGGTAAAACATACCTAAGGGTTACAGCAGGTCGTTTCAGCAGCTGGGCTTGGGGATGATTCCTGAAGCAGGTGCTATGTGCCTTGAGTGCTTTTCCCTCCCAGGTCCCTTGACTTTTATTTAGTTGGGTATGACAAAAATAACTCAATTTCTATAATCAATTCTCACAGTGCTGGCTCAGTGTCCTCTGACACCCCACCCTCCCTAACCTAGGCATGCAGAGAGCAAGTCAAAGAGTCTTGGCACCAAGTTTCACTGCCCAGAACGCTCAGGTAAGCAACTGGGAAGTGTCATGGAAAGAGGATGATGTGCGAGGGACTTCAGCCCCTGAGTAACAGTGCAGGGCGAACGTCGGAGGAACTCAGGACCATTCATTGCCTTTCCGTGTGGGTCTGTCTGATGATTTACATAGAAAAGGGAGCATGGAACGAGAAGTAGTGATCTGATTCTGATGACAGACACTGGAAAACTTTGAAAATGAAAAGAGGAAAACACATGTTTAAAAATGGCTTTTGTGCTGGGCACGGTGGCTCATGCCTGTAATCCCAGCACTTTGGGAGGCCGAGATAGGCAGATCACTTGAGGTCAGGAGTTCGAGGGCAGCCTGGCCAACATGGTGAAAACCCATCTCTACTAAAATACAAAAACTAGCTGGGCATGGTGGCGGGCACCTGTAGTCCCAGCTACTCAGGAGGCTGAGGTAGGAGAATCGCTTGTACCCTGGAGTCAGAGGTTGTGCAGTGAGCCGAGATCACACCACTGCACTCCAGCCTGGGTGACAGAGCAAGATTCCGTCCCAGAAAAAATTTACAAAAGGCTCTTTCTGTAAAGAATGCCAATGACAGTCATTCATGTGGACACGCAGCCATTTCACTCATCACCATACAGCATATTAACAATAGTCCACATCACCACATATGTGTCACAGTAAGTGCTTTTAATTGGACAATGTGTACTCTGTCTTTCTATATCACAGTTTATATAACTCACGTAGCCTAAGCTAGCCTATGTGCCCACAGGTTGAAAGAATCTCACGGAACGTTAGTCCCATGAATTTTTTGTCCCCAGTAAAAATCTGAATGCTGGGAAGCTCTGGGCTTTCCACGGTTTGGAACGAAATTCCTGTTACCTCCTTTTGTTTACAAGTCTCTCTCCATGGCCATCATAGCCACTGCTACTGTGCTTCCATCTGTTTGGATTCAGGCTAACTTTGAGAGGCAAGATGGAAACTTCTAGTGCTTCAACAAGCAATTATTTGGGATTGTTTCTCGCTCATTAATCAAGAAGGCAGGCACATGAAGTTCTGCTCTCTGAAGTGCTTACGGTGTTATCCACCAGTTAAGGGGATTATGAACTATCCCTCACTGACTCAGACGTATGACAACAATAGGTTCCAGATGTCCCAAAAGTTCTGATTTCAAATATTCTGTGTCCCAGTGCTTCATTCAGAAAATAGGGTTTCTGTACTCAGGGCTTGTGACTGCCCAGCTGTGTTACTTGAGTAGTGATGCCTGAGACAACAATGAGGTTTGTTTGCAGTGGTGGACAAACTGCTGTCTAGTACTGTTCAACGTTAAGCTTTCTTTAGAGAGGAGAACAAGATGGTAGTGTCAGTGGACATGGCCCCAGACCACCCTGATGGCTGGCTTCATGGAAGTTGGTCACCCTCTGCAATCAGGAACCAAACCTTCACACACAGACTTGGCTAAATGGATTCAATTGCTGTTTCAAGATGTTTGCTCTTTCCAAGCAAATAAGTGATTGGGAAATTATGGTTCCTTATGAAAATAATAGACAACAAGTTTTTTTAAGAGACAGCCTGTTGCCCAGGCTGGAGTGCAGTGGTACAACCACAACTCACTGTAACCTCAGACTCCTGGGCTCAAGCAAACCTCCTACATAGCTGAGACTGCAGGTGCACACCACCATGCCTGGCTAATTTATTTATATTTTGTGTAGAGATGGGGTCTTGGTATGTTGCGCAGGCTGGTCTTGGACACCCAGCCTCAAGGGGTCCTCCCACCGTGGCCTCCCAAACCACTGGGATTACAGGAGTGAGCCACTACTCCCAACCAACAGGCAACAATTTAAAATGATGATTATATTAGTTTTCTATTGATACTGTGACAAATTACCACAAATTTATGGTTTAAAACAACACAAAGTTATTATCTTTGATTCCGGAGGTCAGAAGTCCAAAAGAAATCGGTAGGGCTGTATTCCTCCCGGAAGCTCTAAGAGGCAATCTGTCTTCTTGCTTTTCTGGTATTCACACGCAGCCCCCATTACTCAGCCCTTGGTCTCCACCTCACTCTGATCTCTGCTTCAACTGTCACATCTCCTCAGTTTCTCCCACCTCCTTTTTTCTCTCATAAGAACCGTTGTAATTACATCAGATGCACTCGGATAATCCAAGATCATCTCCGCATCTCAACTGCTTTATTTAACCACATTTGCAAAGTCTCTCTTGCCACAGGGTGACATAGTCCTGGGGGTGAAGGGAAACAGGTGATTATTCTGCTTACCACAATGATCCTGACACTGTGCCATCACACAGAAGAGCATTTCTGATACGACGTTAATTGAAGGAAAATATACAATTGAAATTATTACATGGCATATAAAAATGTACACATGAAATACAAAATCAAAATTAAATGAAATGCCGGGTCCAGTGGCTCACATCTGTAATCCCAGCACTTTGGGATGCCAAGGTGGGCAGATCACCTGAGGTCAGGAGTTCGAGACCAGCCTGGGCAATGTGGTGAAACCTCATCTCTACTAAAAATACAAAAATTAGCTGGGCTTGGTGGGCGCCTGTAATCCCAGCTACTCAGGAGGCTGAGGCACGAGAATCGCTAGAACTCAGGAGGCAGAGGTTGTAGTGAGCTGAGACTGGGCCACTGCACTCCAGCTTGGGCAACAGAGCGAGACTCTGTCTCAAAGAAAAAGAAATTAAATGTGAAGAAAGTTCTGTAAAAGTAGCAAGAATACAGATGCTTTTCTTTCCCGTATCCCTCCTCCAATGGAGAATATACCTTTTTTTAATGGTATATTCTGGAGAAAAACAAGATGTGACATTTATCAGAACACACAAAGATAGTAGTTAAAAATGAAAAAATAGTACATATGTTTTCTTTATCTCAAGAATTAATTAAAAGTCTTATTTCCCTTCCTAATTTGTAATGAAATGGGAAATAAATAAATGAATGAAAGCAAAGTCAAGATAGGTTCAGTCACATGACAGAATAGTTATCACTTCAATTTTACTTTCATGATTCAGTCAATAAATAAAGACAGCATAGTTATTCACAATATTAAAAGAGAAAGAAAAGGTAAAATATAAAGCTAGAGACCTGACTCTGTGCTGATTCTTTAGAAATTCAGTGTTTACAGTCTAAATGTAATTGTTATCAATTCTTATAACAGTTTTCTTGAGCTATAATTCACATACCATAAAATTCACATTTATAAAAGTGTGCAAGCTGGGCGTGGTGGCTCACGCCTGTAATCCCAGCACTTTGGGAGGCTGAGGCGGGTGGATCACCTGAGGTCAGGAGTTCGAGACCACCCTGGGCAACATGGTGAAACCCCGTCTCTACTAAAAATAAAACAATTAGCCAGGCATGGTGGTGGGCGCCTGTAATCCCACCTACTAGGGAGGCTGAGGCAAGAGAATCACTTGAACCCAGGAGGTGGAGTTTGCAGTGAGCTGAGATTATGCCACTGCACTAAATTTAGCCTGGGCAACAGAGCAAGACTCCATCTCAAAAAAAAAAAAAAGTGTGCATTTCCTGGTTCTGAGTACATACATGGGGTTGTTCAAGCACCACCGCTGTCTAATTTTATGACATTCCATCATCCCCTAAAAACAATATCCATTAGCAGTCACCCCTCATTTTCTCTTTCCACCAAACCCCTGGCAACTACAAATCTTTTTCTCTCTATGAATTTATATATTCTGGACATTTTACATAAATGGAACCATACAGTATGTGATCTTTTTGACTGGCTTCTCTTGCTTAGCATGTTTTCATGGTGCATTCATGTTGAGGCATGAATCTGTATTTTATTCTTTTTCAGGGCCTAGTAATATTCTAGTGTGTGCATATATCTCTTTGTATTTATCCATTCACCTATTGATGGACATTTGAGGTATGTCTACTTTTTGGCTATTATGCATAATGCTGCTATGAACATTCGTGTACAAGTTTCTGTGTGACAGAGTTTTCATTTCTCTTGGGTATATACCTAGGAGTGGAATTGCTAGGTCATATGGGAACTTTATGATTAACATTTTGAGATGCTATGGTCATCAAACTGTTTTTGGCCATCATACGGTCAAACTGTTTTCCAACCTGGCTGCACCATTTTACAGCTCTACCACTGATATACTTTGGATATTGATCCCTGCCAACTCTCATGGTGAATTGTAATCCCCACTGCTGGAGGTGGGGCCTGGTGGGAGGTGTTTGGGTCATGGGAACAGATCCTTCATGGCTTGGTGCTGTCTTTGCAGTAGTGAGTTCTTGTGAGATATGGTCATTTAAAAGTGTGTGGCATCTCCCCCCTCTTTTGCTCTTGCTTTTGCCAAGTGACATGCCTGGTCCCCTTTCACCTTCCGTCGTAATTTTAAGCTTCCTGAGGCCTCCCCAGAAGCTGAGCAGATGCCAGCACCATGCTTCCTGTAAAGCCTGTAGAACTGTGAGCCAATGAAACCTCTCTTTTCTTTATAAATTACCCAGTCTAGTATATTTCTTTATAGCAAACCAAGAATGGCCTAATACAACCACCAATGTTTGAGGGGCCCAATTTTTAGATATCCAACCTTGCCAACACTTATTATTGTCCAGGTTTTTTGTTTGTTTGTTTTTGTTTTTGCTTTTTGAGACAGAGTCTCACTCTTATTGACCAGGCTGGAGTGCAGGGGCGCAATCTTGGCTCACTGAAACCTCTGCCTCCTGAGTTCAAGTGATGCTCCCGCCTCAGCCTGCAAAGTAGCTGAGATTACAGGTGCCCACCACTATGCTCGGCTAATTTTTGTGTTTTAGTAGAGATGGGGTTTCAGCATGTTGGTCAGGCTGGTCTCGAACTCTTGACCTCAGGCGATCCACCTGCCTCAGTCCCCGCAAGTGTTGGGATTACAGGCATGAGCCACTGCACCTGGGCTATTGTCCAGTTTTTAAAATTATGGCCACCCTAGTGGGTGTACAATGATGTCTCATTATGACTTTGATTTGCATTCCTGTAATCATAACGAGGTTGAAACATCTTTTCATGTGGTTATTGGCCATTTGCAAATTTTTTTTGGAAAAATGTCTATTCAACTATTTCTTATTTTTTATTGTTGAGTTGTAAGACTTATTTATATATTCTGAATACAAGCCCTTTATCAGATATATGATTTACAAATATTTTTTCACTCTGTGCATATGTTATTAATTTTTTTAAAACCAAACACATTCTATGTTTGCTTATTTGAGATTACAATAATGCCAGAAAAAGTTCCTCTGGATATAATTCCTTTCACACTGGTATTTTTCTCTCCATTTCTTTCCTTCTGGTTTGAAAATCAATGTCACCATTCTAAAATTATTTAACATGTGATTCTCAAAAATATTACCTTGACATTGAATGTGTAGTTCATTTCTCTATAAACTGTTTCTCCTTTGTATCTTGCACTGCAGTTTTCATTGCCTTTTATCCATAAACAACCCAAAATAAACGGTTTTCCAATAAGTGCTCTCACCTCTTGTGTCTTATTCATAAAATCGAGGCTAATATTCCATCTTGTAGCTCCAGATAGTCCCCACAGGCTGCTCCTGTCAAAATTCAGAATAACCAGGGATGAACTTCCTGCTGTGTTTAAGGGCTGCTTTTTTCTTCTTTCCTGCTGTCAGGACTGGCTGCTGTGCGTTTCAAACATGACAGTCATTTTAGGCGCCATAATCCTTAATTGTGTAAGTGATAATGTCCGTCTAGGCTATCTCCAAATTTTAATAACCCAGAAGTTTATATAAAAGGGGACATCAACCAAAGTAATTGTCCGGAATAAAATAGACATTGCTTTTCTGCGACTCTGATTATCTTTCCTTTTAGAGGGTATTGCTTTTGCTTTCTTTCTTTTCCTTCTTTTTCTGGCTGTGTTCATTCCCCTCTCCATCTTCAGGAAGCCATTGACATGCCCTCAACTCACACCACCTCTTTCTTTTAGCTTCTTCCTTGAAGCTTTTTCTATGAGAAGATAACCTTAACCTGACCTGAGTTTTTCATTCTGCTTTTAATGTAATTTTCACTCTTTGGGTCTTTCTTAAAACCTAAACTCTTAGCATTTAAGATCTTCTTCCAACACTCTTAGAAGGCATTTTGATAAAATGTTTTTCAGGGCAAAATACATTCTTACTCTGAAATGGGAGTTCTGTGTATCTTTTGGTGATCGTGCAGCATGGGATAGTATTATTTGATAAGGCCAGGAAAGAGTGTTTGCACTGCAAAATCTGTGAATAGCTTAGGTTAGTATCTCAATTTTTTTTTTTTAGATAGGGTCTCACTCTGTCACCCAGGCTGGCATGCAGTGGCATGATCACAGCTTACTGCAGCCTTGACCTCTTGGGCTCAAGCCATCCTCCCACCTCAGCTGCCCAAGTAGCTGGGACAATGGGTGTGCACCGCCACAACAGCTAATTTTTAAATAATTTTTTGTAGAGATGGGGGTGTCACCATGTTGCCCAGGCTAGTCTTGAACTCCTGGGCTCAAGTATCCTCCCACCTCGGCCTCCCAAAGTACTGTGGTTACAGGCGTAAGCCAATGTGCCCAGCCTCAAACTGTTATTGAAGATTCTGAGGACTTTTTTCTTGGCGGAGGGGAAGCCTTTAAAGCTTATATAGTTGATTTCATTTTCCTTTCTACCTGACTCTCATTCATTTAAAATTATCTGGAAATTCAACTGTGGCTTATGAATTTGATTAACTAAATGATCAATTAGATAATAAAGCAGATTATTGGACATCCACATAATGGAATACTCCATCTCTAGTAAATAGAGCAATATGAAATAATGTTCATGTTAATGGAGAAAGCAGTTATAGGTTTGGTGTGATTATAACTATACAAATAAAAATGTTCTTGATACTGAAAGGAAATACACCAAAGTACTAATATAAGTAAGAGTGCACATTGTTCTTTCTGCTTGTCAGTAATTTCCAAGTGTTCTGCAAATACAGATTTCATCGATTCTAAGATGCACTTTTAGGCCAGGTGCAGTGGCTCATGCCTGTAATCCCAGCACTTTGGGAGGCTGAGGCAGGCGAATCACTCGAGGACAGGAGTTCGAGACCAGCCTGGCCAACATGGTGAAACCCCATCTCTACTAAAAATACAAAAATTAGCTGGGCATGGTGGTGCACACATGTAATCCCAGCCACTTGGGAGGCTGAGACAGAAGAATTGCTTGAACTCGGGAGATGGAGGCTGCAGTGAGCCGAGGTCGTACCACTGCACTCCAGCCTGGGTGACAGAGTGAGACTCTGACTCAGAATAAATAAATAAATAAATAAATAAATAAATAAATAAATAAATAAATAAGACGCACTTTTGCAGATTTTAATATCTCTGAGATTGAGATGTACCTTGCAATTATGCATCTCATTCCTGCAGCAACTGCAACACAGTTATCATTGTGTGTGCATGAGCATCAAAACTGCCAAACTCTGCGTCTGTGCCAGCCACTTGGAAGGCTATCCCAGAGTCCAGAGTGGAACACTCATTTAAGAAATGCCACATCAACAACACCCTTGTTGGCACAGAGGACAAGATCTTTTGCAAAACACAAATCTTGATGATTTCATGTCAAAACTCATTTAGAGGAATTTGACTGCAAGCTGAAGTTTTAGTAATACCCTAACCAATTTGTTTTGCTTGTATTTCTTTGAGCGTCTGTATGCCTCACGTATGCAGAAGAGTGATATATAATTAATTCATTTAACCTCAGCAAAAATAAGCCTATAAGAGTTTTTTTTGTTTGTTTAAAATGTCCTTTAAAAAACTTTTAAGTGATAGGAAAGCATAGGGGAGTTATATACATATATACATATGTAAGTGCACACACACACGCACACACACACACGCATATATGTATATTCTTTTTTTGAGACAGGGTTTCACTCCCATCACCCAGGCTGGAGTGAAGTGGTACAATCGCAGCCCACTGCAGTCTCTGCCTCCTGGGCTCAAGCAATCCTCCCACCTCAGCCTCCCACGTAGCTGGAACCACAGGTGTGTGTGCCACGTGCCTGGCTAATTTTTATATTTTTTGTAGAGACAGGTTTTTGCCATGTTGCCCAGGCTGGTCTCAAACTCCAGGGCTCAAGCAATCCTCCTGCCTCAGCCTTCCAAAGTGCTGGGATTTACAGGCGTGAGCCACTGCAGCTGGCCATAGGAAAGTAGTATATTTTGAAAGCATATTTTCTTCCTTAGCATTATATAAACTAATGGTGCATACAATCTATGGCATCTTAGATATCGCTGCATGTAACACACTCCAAATAACAGTGGTTTCAATGAAATGGAAAGGTATTTCTCTCTCCCACAACTGTTCGTGGGTGAGTGATCTGCGGTTGGTATAGTATGTACTTGACAAAGTCACCTAGAGATTTGGGCTCCTTCAGTCATGTCACTTATCCATTTCTAGGTTGTTCCTCTAATCCATGTGGCTTGCCATCATACTTGTGCTCCTAGTGGTAAGAAAAACAAGGTGAAAAAAAGGAACATGCCCTCTCCCTTCAGCATATACCACAGAAGCTACACACATCACTTCCTTACATAACCCATGAGCCTAGGCACATAGACCCACCCAGCTAGCTGCAAGGGAGGCTGGGAAATGTCTCTATTCCGCCTTAGAGGTCAGCAAACATTTTCTATAAAAGGCCAGGGAGTAAATATTTTAAGCTTTGCAGGACACAGAACATCTCCATTGAATAGTCTTTTTGTTTGCTTGTTTCTAAACATCGCCTTACAAATGTAAAAACATTCTTAGCTTGTGGGCTATACAAAAACAGGAAACAAGCTGTGTTTGACCCACAGGACAGTTAGGACAGTTTGTCAATCCTTGTTCTAGACTGTCTAGACACATATAAAGCTAGAATTCCATTCTTTTTTTTTTTTTTTTTTTTTGAGACAGAATCTCACTCTGTCACCCAGGCTGGAGTGCAGTGGCGTGATCTCAGGTTCAAGCTATTCTCCAGCCTCAGCCTCCCCATTAGCTGGGATTACAGATGCCTGCCACCACACCCAGCTAATTTTTGTACTTTTTAGTAGAGACAGGGTTTCGCCATATTGGCCAGGCTAGTCTCGAACTCCTGACTTCAGGTGATCCACCTGCCATGGCCTCCCAGAGTGCTAAGATTACAGGCGTGAGCCACCACACCTGGCCTTTAACAACTGTATTTAATGAGCACATATTACTAGTTAAATATCAACATTTTAGAGAAAAAAAAATGTGTTAATAATTTAGACTATCCATTCACAAGCCTTTGTTTTTCATCGAATGTGATTTATAGCATAGTGATACATTACAAATAAAATAACTGTTAAAAGTTCAAAGCTGGCCAGGCATAGTGACTCACGCCTGTAATCCCAGCACTTTGTGAGGCCGAGGCAGGAAGATCATGAGGTCAGGCATTCGAGACCAGCCTGGCCAACACAGTGAAACCCCATCTCTATTAAAAATAGAAAAAATTAGCCGGGCGTAGTGGCAGGCACCTGTAATCCCAGCTACAACGAGGGAGGCTGAGGCAGGAGAATCGCTTGAATCTGGGGGGTGGAGGTTGCAGTGAGCCGAGATGACGCCATTGCACTCCAGCCCAGGTGACAGCACAAGACTCCGTCTCAAAAAAAGAAAAAAAAAAGTTCAAAGCTGTCACCTCACACCAAATAGGTTACTATCAAAAACAAACAAACTAGAAAATAATAAGTGTTGGTAAGGATGTGGAGAAATTGGAACCCTTATGCTCTGAGGGCGATGTTAAATGGTGCAGTCGCTATGGAAAACAGTATGGCAGTTTCTTAAAAAATTAAACATAGAAATTACTGTATGATCCAGCAATTTCACTTCTGGATATACCCAAAAGAATTGAAAGCAGAGTCTTGAAGAGATATTTGTACACTCATATTCATAGCAGTGCTATCCCTAATAGCCAAAAAGTGGAAGAAACCAAGTGTCTATTAATGACTGAATGGGTAAACAAATGTACTGCACACATACAATGGAATATTATTCAACCTTAAAAGGGTGATATAGGCCAGGCACGGTGGCTCACGCCTGTAATCCCAACACTTTGGGAGGCCGAGGGAGGCGGATCACGAGGTCAGGAGATTGAGACCATCCTGGCTAACATGGTGAAACCTCGTCCCTACTAAAAAATACAAAAAATTAGCCGGGCGTGGTGGCGGGCGCCTGTAGTCCCAGCTACTTGGGAGGCTGAGGCAGGAGAATGGCGTGAACCTGGGAGGCAGAGCTTGCACTGAGCTGAGATCGTGCCACTGCACTCCAGCCTGGGCGACAAAGCGAGACTCTGTTTCAAAAAACAAAAAACAACAAAAAAATGGTGATATATATGCTATATCCTTTTTAGGGTAATATAATATTCTGATATATGCTACAAATGGGTGACCCTGAAGACATTATGCTAAGAAAAATAAGCCAGCCACAAAAGGACCAACACTGTATGATTCTACTTATATGAAGTTCCTAGAGTGGTTAAACTCATAGAGACAGAAAGTACAATGGTGGTTTCCAGAAGTTGGGAAAGGGAACAGGGAGTTAATGTTTATTGGGTACAGAATTACAGTTTTGCAAGATGAAAGAGATCTGGAGGTGGACGATCATGATGGTTGTACAACAAGGACAATGTGCTTAATGCCACTGAACTTACGCTTGAAAAAACATTAAGGTCTCCAGCTTCATCCACATTCTGAGTAAACTAGCACAAGAACAGAAAACCAAACACCACATGTTCTCACTCATAAGTGGGAACTGAACAATGAGGACACATGGACACAGGGAGGGGAACATCACACACCGGGGCCTGTTAGAGGGTGAGGACCTAGGGGAGGGAGAGCATTAGGAGAAATACCTAACGTAGATGACGGGTTGATGGGTGCAGCAAACAACCATGGCACATGTATATCTGTGTAACAAAACTGTAGGTTCTGCACATGTACCCCAGAACTTAAAGTATAATAAAATAAAATAAAAACACTGACTGGGTGTGGTGGCTTATGCCTATAATCTCAGCAGTTTGGGAGGCCGAGGCGGGCAGATCGCCTGAGGTCAGGAGTTTGGGACCAGGCTGACAAACATGGAGAAACCCTGTCTCTACTAAAAATACAAAATTAGCTGGGTGTGGTGGCAGATGCCTGTAATCCCAGCTAATCAGAAGTCTGAGGCAGGAGAATCGCTTGAACCCGGGAGGCAAAGGTTGCGGTGAGCCAAGATTGTGCTGTTGGACTCCAGCCTGGGCAATAAGAGTGGAACTCCTTCTCAAAAAAAAAAAAAAAATTAAGGTCATCGATTTTAGGTTATGTGTATTTAACCACAATTAAAAAAAAATTTCAGGGCTGGGCGCGGTGGCTCACGCCTGTAATCCCAACGCTTTGGGAGGCCGAGGTGGGCCGATTACGAGGTCAGGAGATGGAGACTATCCTAGCTTACACGGTGAAACCCCGTCGCTACTAAAAATACAAAAAATTAGCCGGGCGTTGTGGCGGGCGCCTGTAGTCCCAGCTACTCGGGAGGCTGAGGCAGGAGAATGGCCTGAACCTGGGAGGCAGAGCTTGCAGTGAGCCGAGATCAGGCCACTGCACTCCAACCTGGGTGACAGAGCAAGACTCCGTCTCAAAAAAAAAAAAAAAATTCAGACCTTCAAATAATTGTTTCATGCCTATATAACATTTTGTTTTGCATTTATAACAGTTCAGTACTAGATAAATAAATGAGTTTTTTTTTGACTTTTGTTTTTCAATTATGTGCAGGAATTAGTTGTAATTTCTCATCACTGGTTTGAAGGCAAAGACCTCAAAAATGAAGAAAAGAATTTCCTAATCAGTGGTTCTCCACAGCAGGCCTACCCTGGGCTTTGTGGGGGAAATCAAAGTGGAAGAGTTTAAATTGTCACAGCAACAGGGAGGATCACTGGCATTGGCGGGGAGGGATCAGGAATTTGAGAACTTCTGCAATTCAGGGAGAGTCCTGTCCAGCCAAGATTGTGCCTGTCTCTCAGGACTTGCATGAAGATGAAAACCTACTGATGACTCGCTGAGCTCAACTTGGATAAAGATATTACCCAAAAAAGGGGTCTTGATCCAGACCCCAAGAGAGGGTTCTTTGATCTGTCACAGGAAGGAATTCAAGGCAAGTCACAGAGCATAGTGAAAGAAGCGAGTTTATTAGAAACTTACAGAGAAAGGCATCCTCAGAAAGGAAGTAGAGGAAAGCCCTGGCTTTAAGTCTTTCTTAAACACTGAGCTGTGTCCACGCGCAGGTGAGCAGGCATCATGACAAATGTGTTACTCTGTTGATTTAAAGAGGACTAGCCTTGGCTGGGCGCGGTGGCTCACACCTGTAATCCCAGCACTTTGGGAGGCCGAGGCGGGTGGATCACCTCAGATCAGGAATTCAAGACCAGCCTGGCCAACATGGTGAAACCCCGTCTCTACTAAAAATACAAAAATTAGCCAGGCATGGTAGTGCACACCTGTAATCCCAGCTACTCAGGAGGCTGAGGCAGGAGAATTGCTTGAACCCGGGAGGCAGAAGTTGCAGTGAGCCAAGATTGCACCATTCCACTCCAGCCTGGGTGACAAAAGTGAAACTCTGTCTCAAAAAAGAAAAAGAAAATAAAAACTAGCCTTGACAGTCTAGTGTGTGAGTACACCAAAGCATACCAATTATTACCTAGAAAACATATATTCTTATGGGTTTTGGGGCATCTGGATTTTCTGATGCTGTAGGAGTTTGTCCTTGCAGGGATTACCAAGCTGCTTTCTTAGCTGTAAGCATCTTGGAACCATGGGTTGCGCCTGTCAAGAAATGTGCTTTGCTAGTTTAAAGATGGAGGTCTTCTTAAAATGGTGTCACCCTGGCTTTCCTTGGCTCCTGCTTCCCTAACATACCTATAAACCAAACTGTTACTTTTTTTGCAGGTTTTTATACATTGAATTTTCTAGGACTGCAATGACCAAAATTTGTTTTGGAACTTTGCCAAGAGTGGTTCACCATTTGGGGAAATCACAGGACTGATTGCAGCACCAATGCAACATACTTGAGTCTGGCTGTACCTGCAGCGGTCACATTCATGGTGGGCCTACAGGGAGGGGCAGCCATCCAACAGCATTATCTCTGCCAGTGTAGTCGTGTCCAAATATTTACATAGGAAAGGCTTATTGTTTCAGTTATTCTCTTATTATTTCTTTTGCTCTTTGGATCTGATGTAGAGAAACTATATTTAAACTGGGAGTCATTTCAGATAGGATATGATCACTAATTGAAATCCTTGAAAAATTAGAAGATTACTTGGAAAGGTGAGTCCAAAGCCAGCCGAGGTTAGAGAAGGAACAGCTGGAGATCTTTCAGAAGCCCAGGGTCTTCTTTGACCAGCTATTTACTATGCATTTTCCTCATTCCTGAATTCTTGGTGTTGATGAAGTTCTTCAAGGCTAAGAAGGGAAAAGGGGTCTCTTGAAGGCAGTTATGGCTTTATAAGATAATTGCAGTCAGGAGTATTGAGAGAGAGAGGAACAGAGAGAGAGGAAAGAGTTAAGAGAAAAAGATTTATGGTAAAGAATTGGCTCATGAGATTGCGGTACTGGGAGGTCTGAAATCTGCAGGGCAGGCCGGCAGGCTGGAAGATTGATGTTGCAGCTGGAGTCCAAGGGCAGCCTGGAGGCAGAATTCCTCCCCTTTCCAAGACCTCAGTCTTTTTCTCTTAAGGCCTTCCAGTGATTGGATGAGTCCCATGCACATTATAGAGGATAATCTGCTTTACTCAAAGTGGACCGATTTAAATGTGAATCATATCTAAAAACACAGCTCCACAGCAACATCTAGACTGGTGTTTGATGAAACATCTGGGTACCACAGCTTAACCAAGTTGACACAAAAATTAACCATCGCAATAACCAAACAGAGCTTGGAGTGAAGGTGTGAAGGTAGATATGGGTCCGTGGAGGTGGGAACACCTCTCCCTCTGAGCTGGAGACAGCAAGCCTAGAAAGTCTCAGTGAGCAGAGGAAAGTGGCCTCTTCAAACTTGACTGGAGGCTAAGATTCAGCCAGGATTGGCATAGAGACCCTATTTCCAGTTTTCCTTGGAGCACGGCAGAGTGCCCCAAAGCCAGGTGTCCAGCTCCCCAATCTTCATCTCCTGGTGTTTTGATCAAGGTGTTGGGGACGGTTAGTGGCCAGTTGCTCCCAGCAGGCACAGATTCCAGAGAAGGCACAGTCCTGTTCTTTCTACCTGAGACACAGCCCTTGGATTTAGTGGAAGAGGATTAAGCCCTAGTCTTGGGAGATTGCAAACTCTCCTAGGAGGCACAAGGCAGCAGAGATCCCAGTGGAGGATGAAAGCTCCCCAAGAGGGTCCCAGAGGACTCACACTCACCCCAGAGAAGACACACAGGTCAGGGAGAAAAGGTTAGATTCTGAATGGAAAAAAAAAAAAGGAGACTGAGACCTTCTCAAAGGAGTCCCCTATACTGTCTTTGTTTTTGTTTTTTTTGAGATGGAGTCTTGCTCTGTCACCCAGGCTGGAGTGCAGTGGCACAATCTCTGCTCACTGCAACCTCCGCCTCCCAGGCTCAAGTGATTCTCCTGCCTCAGCCTCCCGAGTAGCTGGGACTACAGGCATGTGCCACCACACCTGGCTAATTTTTGTATTTTTAGTAGAGACGGAGTTTCACCATATTGGCCAGGCTGGTCTCAAACTCCTGAACCTATGCTGCACCCACCTCGGCCTCCCAAAGTGCTGGGATTACAGGCATAAGCCACTGCGCCCAGCCAAGGAGTCAGCAACACTTTAACCATATCACATAACATGGTATAAAAGGTCTTGGTATTGGTTTATTTCTTAGGAGAAAAGTAGAATGGAAGAGAAGAGAATTATTGAGCATTGACTGTCTACCAGTTGCTATGTTAAGCACTGTACGTGTATTATTTCAATTCAATCTTTAATTCTACCCTGTTAGGTAAGTAGGATTATTAATCCAGCTTATGAAGAAATTAAGCTTAAATAATTTGGCCAAGGTCACAGAACAGGTAAGTGGAGGGGCTCGAACTCAGATGCAGAATATCTCATTACGAAGTTTATGTTTCTGATGTGGTACCAGGCAAGTCCCAAAACTGGGGCTTAGCCTGGGAGGATTCTTGGCTTTGCCCAGGAAAAAAATTCAAGGATGAGCCAGCGGTGTTAGGCAGCAACTTTTCTTGAAGCGGCAGTGTACAGGAACAGCAGAGGGACCGCTCTTTGCAGAACAGGACTACCCCCCAGGCAGTGTGCCCAGAGTAGCAGCTCAAAGGTAGTTCTGCAGTCCTATTTATACTCACTTTTAATTACATTCAAATTAAGGGGCAGCTTATGCAGAAATTTCTGGGAAAAGGGTGGTAACAGGCTGGGTGCTGTGGCTCACACCTGTAATCCCAGCAGTGTGGGAGGCCGAGGTGGCTGGATCACCTTAGGTCAGGAGGTCGAGACCAGCCTGACCAATATGGTGAAACCCCGTCTCTACTAAATATACAACAATTAGCCAGGCATAGTGGTGTGCACTGTAGTCCCAACTACTTGGGAGGCTGAGACAGGAGAATGCTTGAACCCAGGAAGTGGAGGTTGCAGTGAGCCAAGATCGCACCACTGCCCTCCAGCCTGAGAGACAAAGCAAGACTCCGTCTTAAAAAAAAAAAAAAAAAAAAAAAAAAAGGTAACTTCTGGGTCCTCAGGTCGTTGCCATAGAAAGGGGTAACTTTCAGGTGTTGCCATGACAATGGTAAACTGACATGGCCCACTGGTGGGTGTGTCTTATGGAAAGCTGCTTCCCCCTCCACTCTATTTTAGCTAATCCTCAATTTGGTCCGGTGTCCGAGTCCTACCTCCTACCTCACTTCTAAGCCCTATCTTAAGCTTCTTTCCAGTAAAAGGAAGATGAGGCTTGTGGTCTTATGTTGTACATTGGTTTTCGTCCATGGTTACTGATTCATAACTCCCATAGCCCTTGTTGCAAGACTTTTGTTACGAAGTTGGATGTGTTAGGCCTCAGGCGCGGACCTCCAGACACAGAATCTCTCTCCTGCCCCCTTTTCACCCGCCCAAGGCAGGACTCTAAGAGTCCCCTGCCCTTCTGACTGTGGGTCTTAAGACCCTCCCATGAGAAGGTCCCACCCAATACCCTGGGGGAAGGAACACTGATGGCATGAAACTTTCATAAAAACCCAAGAGGACAAGGTTCAGGGAATTTCTGGATAGCTAAACGTGTGGAGGTTCCTGGAGAATGGTGGGCCCAGGGAGGGCGTGGAAGCTCTGCACCCCTTGCCCCGTATTTCACCCTAGGCATCTCTTCATCTGCATCCTTCACAGCAGCCTTTAGGATAAATCAGTAAATGCTAGTGTTTCCCTGAATTCTGTGAGCCGCTCCAGCACATCAGCTGAGTTGAAACAGATCACGGGAACCCAAATTGAAGCCGGTCGGTCAGAAGTTCTGGAGGCCCAGACCTGCAACTAGAGAGTGTGTTTGGGGGAGGGGTAGTGTGGGGGACTGAGCCTTCAACTCACTGGATCTGACACTATCTCCAGGTAGATAGTGTCAAAACTGGATTAAAGGATGCCCAGATGATGTCTACTGCTTGGTATGTGGAGGGAAAAAGCATTCCGTCACAGAAATCTTCTGTGTTGAAGATTGTTGTGGTGTGAGGGTGGAGGAAAAGCACGGTGAGAGAGAGTTTTCCCTACACGAGGCCTTCCCAGGAGACTGCACATGGAGGGAAGGATCCTGTGCAGAATTCTGGGGAGGAGGGTAGGCTGGATCAACAACAAAAGCAGTAGAGAGACTGAGAAGGGAAAAAGAAGAGATTGATAAAGGAGGGGATTTTTAGTGCCTGCCGCAAAAGGAAAATCTGGGGAAGTGAGAGGTAGCTAAGTAGAATGTTTAGGAATTCTTCTGTGTGCGATGCTGAATGAAACTACTAAAAAGGAAACTTACAAGAAAAACCTATGCTATTCTCAAGACTTTTGGAGTCAGACTGCAGCTACCATTGCCTTTCTGTTCCTTCTTCCTTTTTATGAAATACAGGCCTACATCACCTGGGGCCAAAATGAGGGTTTCTTTCATTTTGTTTCAGATTTTCTAAGATTTTGTTTTCCTCTTCTCAGTGTTTTTCAAACAAATCCCTTCCTTTCCACCATGACTCGAATCTTCTTTATCTTACAACTGCATGTTACAAAGGCTTAATTTGCTTCTCTCATGGTTATCCTGAACATGATCACCATATTAATATCAAATGTTGGCTGCGCACAGTGGCACATGCCTGTACACCAAGCGCTTTGGGCGGCCGAGGCAGGTGAATTGCTTGAGCCCAGGAGTTCAAACCAGCCTGGGCAACATGGCAAAACCCCATCCTATGAAAACATTCAGAAATTAGCCGGGTGTGGTGGTGTGTGCCTGTAGTCCCAGGCACCTGGGAGGCTAAGATGGGAGGATCGCTTGACCACCGGAGGTGGAGGCTACAGTGTGTCGTGATTGTGCCACCACTGCACTCCAGCCTGTGCAACAGAGTGAAATTCTATCTCTAAATATATGTGTGTATGTATAATATATATAAATATGTATATATGTATACATGTGTGTAATATATACTTGTAAAAATATATGTGTGTATATATGTTTACACATATATACACACATATATTTTGTATATACATATATAGTTTTATATATGTATATATGTATATATAATGTAATATCTGCATTTAATTCTCTCTCAAAAATTCTCAATAGCCTCGTTTAAATTCTTCAGCCTAGATCCAAGACTCTTTAGAATTGAAACCTGTAAATTATTCAACAGCGTCTGCCAAGACTGTGGGGACAGATCTGCAGATCAGCTAACATCCTCTCTAACCCCATCGCCCTCTTCCCATTCCCCACCCTACAACTCACAAGACAGTCCCACCACCACACTCCTGCTCATACCATTTCAATCTGGAATTTCATCCCATTGCAATCCTATGCTTTTTTTCAGGACAAAAATCAAATGAAATGTTTTCTTAACTTTTTTTAGCCCATAATTAGCATGCTGTTCTCCAAATGATTATCTATTTCACACACTTGTGTCAGTAAATAGAGTGTAATTGGCTGCAAGCTCAATAAGAAGAGGCAGTTGATACATGTAACAAAATAAAAAGTGAGTTAGTCGCTACTCTTGCACCTCTCAGTTATAAAATAGTGCAGGAATCTCGGTGAAGAATGACGTTATTACATTTCCCAAGCGGCATTTCAGTGGGGGTCTGGTTCTTGGTATGAGATGTCTGTCCTTGTCCTTAGATATCTTGATGGTCTTTACTAACAAGAGCTATAAGATGAATGGGATAGAAAAAGAAGAGGGCTTATTTTGGTAGAATGCAGTCCTCGCCTTTGCAAAACCAAGGGCACAACCCTCAAAACAGTTGAATTTATGGTTATATGGGCCAGGTGCTATGGCTCATACCTGTAATCCCAGCACTTGAAGAGACTGAGGTGGGAGGACTGCACAAAGTCAGGAGTTCAAGACCAGCCTGGGCAACATGACAAGACTGTAGCTCTACAAAAAATAATTTTTAATATTAAAAAATTTATAGTTATGTGGGTAACAGGATGAATTGGCGTCTCACTCACTGGGCCACATAAGTACTGCTAGAGTAGGGAAAAAAGCCTGGTATGGCCAGGCAGAGAAGACATAGAGACGGAGAACCCACCATACCTAACATCACCACCACCACATCCTCCACCTCTCCCTCCATCTCTGTCTCACGTTGGCTTCCCCAAAGTCATAGATCCAGGGCTAAGAGGAGTAAATAATGAAAGTGGGGATTGCATGTTTCCTGGCAATACTTTCATTAAAGGACAGAGAAGAATGTGCATCAGAGAAATTCAGTCTAGTGCTATCAGCTGCAGGCTGGTTGGAAATACAGGCAAATCTCCAGTGACGTGACCAACAACTAGGGGATACAGGGAAGGAAGACTGAGCTCTTCAACCGCGTGAGTTCCAGACTGAGTCTGCAGGCAGTTAATGAGATCAGTGGGTTTGGCCAACAGAGAAGACAGAAACCTTACCATCACCAAAGTAGGGTTTCTTATATAAGGGGACGACAAAAAGGGGAGAGCCAGCCAGCTCTCTATTAGCAGTGACATAAGGACGTGACTTTTATCCTTGTGATGGTTATACTGAGTGTCAACTTGATTGGATTGAAGGATATAAAGTATTGATCCTGGGTGTGTCTGTAAGGGTGTTGCCAAAAGAGATTAACATTTGAGTCAGTGGGCTGGGAAACGCAGACCCATCCTTAATCTGGTAGGCACCATCTGATCAGTTGCCAGTGAATATTAAACAGGAAGAAAAATGTGAAAAGGAGAGAGACTGGCTAGGCCTCCCAGCCTACATCTTTCTCCTGTGCTGGATGCTTGCTGTCTTTGAACATCAGACTCCAAGTTCTTCAGTTTTGAGACTCAGACTAGCTCTCCTTACTCCTCAGCTTGCAGACAGCCTATTGTGGGATCTTGTGATCATGTAAGTTAATACTTAATAAACTCCCATATAATATATGATATATAATATATGTCACATATCATATATGATATAGATATATGTCACATACCATATATGATATATAATATATGTCACATACCATATATGATATATAATATATGTCACATATCATATATGATATATAATATATGTCACACATCATATATCATCTATTATATATCATATATCATATAATATTATATATCATATATCATATATGATATGATATATATTATATAAAATATATATTAAATATATATATTTATGTTTATATTAAATAACATATTTAATAATATATATGATATATGACATATTTAATAATATATAATATAATATATTTAATATACATAGATCCTCTAGAGGGACAGAACTGATATATCTATATTATAGATTATATATGGTAATATGTATAATAGATAATAGATATTACATATTATCAGTTCTGTCCCTCTAGAGAATCTATATATATGATATATATATATATATCAGTTCTGTCCCTCTAGAGAATCTATATATATGATATATATATATATATATATATATCAGTTCTGTCACTCTAGAGAATATATATAATATTATGATATATATAAAAATATATACATCAGTTATATATATTATATATATTCTGTCCCTCTAGAAACGACAAATACAGTCCCCCTCTTTGTCTCCTCTCCACATCAATAGCACAATACTACAGTGAGACATTCCCAAATCCTCCATCCTGGAATCCTAGTGTCTCAAAAACAGAGGTATAGCGGCCACATTACAGAAATGAACAGTCTCATCCTGTGAATCACTGGTAAGAACATATGTGGAATATTGTTCTTAGTCCTGCGCATCAGATGTTAAGACATTTTTAAAAACTGAAGTGTGTAAAAAAATTGTGTAAAGTATAAATTAGATACAATAGTGTCTCAAAATAATTTCCTAAAGAATATTTAAAGAAACCAACCAGACACAGTGGCTCATGCCTATAATCTCAGCAGTTTGGGAGGCTGAGGTGGGCAGATAGCTTTAACCTAAGAGTTTAAGACCAGCCTGGGCAACATGGTGAAACCCCATCTCTACAAAATATACAAAAAATACAAAAATTAACTAGCTATGATGGCATACAACTGTAGTCCCAGCTACTAGGGAGGCTGAGGTGGGAGGATTGCTTGAGCCCAGGAGTTCAAGGCTGCAGTGAGCCATGACTCCACCACTGCACTCCACCCTGGACAACAGAGCAAGACCTGTCTCCAAAAATATATATATGTATAAAATATATATTTTATATATATATTTATACATATATATACTATATATATATACACACACACACACACACACACACACACATATATACTATATATATATTTAGGCTGGGAGCCGTGGCTCACGCCTGTAATCTCAACACTTTGGGAGGCCAAAGTGGGTGGATCACCTGAGGTCGGGAGTTCGAGACCAGCCTGGCCAACATGGTAAAACTCTGTCTCTACTAAAAATACAAAATATTAGCCGGACGTAGTGGTGCATGTCTGTAATCCCAGCTGCTCAGGAGACTGAGGCGCAGGAGAATTGGTTGAACCTGGGAGATGGAAGTTGCACTGAGCCGAGATTGCACCACTGCACTCCAGCTTGGGCAACAGAGCAAGGCTCTGTCTAAAAACAAACAAACAAAAAAGAATATTTAAAGAAACTGATTGTCTTTAACCTGAAGGAATAGGTAAATGTCTTTAGACATTTGAAGAGATGCCATGTGGAAAAATTAGACTTATTCTCTGTGGTTTTAGAAAGCAGACAAGGAGTAAATGTGTGAAAGTTACAGGGATGCAAATTTTGTCTTAATAGTGGGAATGGATGAACGTTCAAAAAAGTGAGGATGGCCTGCCCCAAAATGGATGGTGCCATCACTTGACATATTTGTGCAGGGGCTGTATATTAATCCACTAGGGCTGTTGTTGAGGAAAGCTCAGCACTGGAGCGAAACTGAAGCAAATGATCTTCAAGTTCCACCTCCCATTCCACTTCTAAGATTTATATTTAATGATTTCTTATGTCGCCCAATTTTTAACTCGGTTTCTGTTTGTTAATTCTTATGTATGTAAATCTTGTTCTCTCATTTGATAGAAATCATCTGCCAGGAAAACGGTCTGTATATATGGTGCATAATGACAGGCATACCTAAGATGATCATTACATAATCAGGTCCCTAGGATTATTATCTTGTGATCAGAAAAAACTTTTAAGAACATCTGGTCTTATCCTGGCCAACATAGAGAAACCCCATCTCTACTAAAAACACAAAAATAAGCTGGGCATAGTAGCACGCGCCTGTAATCCTAGCTATTCAGAGGCTGAGGCAGGAGAATCTCTTGAACGCAGGAGGTGGAAGTTGCAGTGAGCTGAGATTGCACCACTGTACTCCAGCCTGGGTGACAGAACAAGACTCCGTATAAAAAAAAAAAAAAGAACATCTAGTCCCCTCTTCTGATATTTAAACTTCCGCTACATTATTTCTCCCAAATGATCCTCCTCTTTCCCCCGCTACTTGAATACCTTCATTGATGGTGAACTCACTAACTCACAGGAGCTCCATACCATTTTTAGGACAACTTGACCACAAATTTCACTGTCTCAGTGATCTGTTACTGAGTAACAAACCACACCTAGAATTAATGTCTTAAAATAACAGTGATCTTTATCTGTGGATTGGCTAGGTGGTCCCCCACTGGTTTTGCCTGGGCTCAATTAGGTGGCTGCTTTCAACTGAGGGACGATCTGAGCTGGAAGATCCAAGATGGCCTCACGTGCCTGACTGACAGATGTCACTGGCTATTGCCTAGAGCTCTTTGTTTCTCTCTCATGTGACCTCTCATCCTCCTCCACACTAGCCTGACTTCATTATATATCTTAGGACAGAATTCTAAAAAAAATGAAGGCAGAAACTCAACAGCCTCTTGACACCTAAGCTCTAGGTTGCGTACACATCACTTCCACCATATTCTTTCAGTTAAACCACAAGGGTGATCCAGACGCACAGGGATGAAGAAAAAGACCCCACTTCTGAAAGGAAGGGACGGGAAACCCACACATATGTGTGAGGACATACATAACAGGAGGGGTGAAATGTGACCCTGTTACACAATCTAAAGTATTTCAAGAAGGCTGGGCGTGGTGGCTCACGCCTGTAATCCAGCAAATCCCAGCACTTTGGGAGGCCGAGGTGCGTAGATCACCTAAGGTCAAGAGTTCAAGACCAGCCTGGCCAACATGGTAAAACCCCGTCTCTATTAATAATACAAAAATTAGCCGGGTGTGGTGGCGGGTGCCTGTAATCCCAGCTACTCGGGAGGCTGAGTCAGGAGAATCGCTTGAACCCAGGAGGCAGAGGTTGTAGTGAGCTGAGATCACGCCACTGTACTCCAGCCTGGAGGGGACAGAGCGAGACTCTGTCTCAAAATAAATAAATAAATAAATAAAATGAAGTAAAATAAACAAATAAAGTATTCAAAGAAATTATACAGAAGTCTTCCTGCCTCTAACTCTTCCTATGATAGGTCCTTGAACCTCTGTCTTGGTCTGTTTCCTATTGCTTATAACAGAATACCTGAAACTGTGTAATTTATAAAGAAAAGGAATTATCTTTTACAGTTATGGAAGCTAAGAATCCAACATCAAGGAGCCACATCTGGCAAAGTCTTTTTTTTAATTGAGATAAAATATACACCTATAATTTACCATCCTTACTATTTCTAAGTGTATAGTTCAGTGGTAAGAAATACATTGATGGCTGTTGTGATACCTCGGTTCTTGCCTTCTTAGTTTAAAAGAATTTAAACAAGAGACTGGGCGCGGTGGCTCACGTCTGTAATCCCAGCACTTTGGGAGGCCGAGGTGGGCAGATCACTAGTCAGGAGTTCCAGACCAGCCTGGCCAATATGGTGACACCCCGTCTCTACTAAAATTACAAAAATTAGCTCGGTGTGGTGGTGCGTGCCTGTAGTCCCAGGTACTCGGGAGGCTGAGGCAGAATTGCTTGAACCCGGGACACGGAGGTTTCAGTCAGCCGAGATTGCATCACTGCATCCCAGCCTGGGTGGCAGAGCAAGATTCCGTCTCAGAAAAAAAAAAAAAAAAAAAAAAAGAATTTAAACAAGAGACATACAGTGTAGGGCATGCAGCATAGAGTAATTTATTGCAAAGGAAAAAGAATATTTTGAAAGTTAGGTACAGAATAGACAGTACATCCTCAGGGAGAGAGGATTCAGGGCAAGCTGCTCATAAGGACGAGACAGCAAAGACCGTTACTAGGGAAAGGGAGTCTTACATGATTATTCATGAGGGAGTGGGAAGAGGCGTTGCTAGTAAGCATGTTCTGGGTGGTCTTCTGGGTGCACATGTACAGTAGCTGTACATGCTTCTTCATACATCATATGTCTCATTAGCATCTTAAATCTCCACACTGGGGTGTGTTTTTTACTATTATAATGATCAAAGGGTGAGTTTGAGGACAGGTAAAATCAAAATATGTGTGCACTCTCGAGGAGAAAGTCCCTACTGAAGATAACTTTGCTTGAATGAGCTCAACTACAATGCAAATGCTGAGGCTTATTGTGTTGACTGTACAGTCACCACGGTTGCTACGTCCCAAGAACGTGGTCATTTCCTTGACTACCCATCTTGCCTCAAATACATTTTTTGTTTTTAGATGGAGTCTCGCTCTGTCGCCCAGGCTGGAATCAAGTGGCATTTTCTCAGCTCACTGCAACCTCCGCCTTCCCGGCTCAAGCAATTATCCTGCCTCAGCTTCTCCAGTAGCTGAGATTACAGGCACGCGCCACCATGCCTGGCTAATTTTTGTATTTTTAGGTGAGATGGGGTTTCACCGTGTCAGCCAGGCTGGTCTCGAACTCCTGACCTCAAGTAATCTGCCTGCCTCGGCCTCCCAAAGTGCTGGGATTACAGGCATGAGCCACCGCACCCAGCCATGCCTCAGAAACATTTATATCCTTATTTTTCCCTTCATCCCCTTTCCCTACTCCTTCCTGGCCTCTGGTAACCACAAGTCTGCTCCCTATCTTCATGAGTTGCACTGTTTTTAGCTCCCATACATGAGTGAGAACATGAGCATCTGCTTTTCTGTGCCTGGCTTATTTCACTTAACATAATGGCCTCCAGTTCCATCCATGTTGCTGCAAATGACAAGATTTCATTCTTATTTATGAAATAAAATTCCATAATGATATTCCATTGTGTATATATACTACATTTTCTTTTTTTACTTTTCTCTTTTTTTTTTTTTTTTTTGAGATGGAGTCTCACTCTGTCTCCCAGGCTGGAATGCAGTGGCACGATCTCGGCTTACTGCAACCTCTGCCTCCTGGGTTCAAGAATTCTCATGCCTCAGCCTCCCAAGTAGCTAGGATTCCAGGTGCCTGCCACCAACCCCCCACTAATTTTTGTATTTTTGGTAGAGACGGGGTTTCACCATGTTGGCCAGGCTAGTCTTGAACTCTTGACCTCAAGTGATCTGCCCACCTCCAGCCTCCCAAAGTGCTGGGATTATAGGCGTGAGCCACCATGCTGGCCTGTGTATGTGTATATATACTACATTTTTTTCATCCGTTCATCTGTTGATGAGAGGCTTCTTTCTGGTGGGGACTCCACAGAGTCCCAGTGGGGCACACGGTATCACATGGCCAGGGGACTGAGCACACCAACGTGCTAGCTCAGGTCTTTCTTCCTCTTTTTGTAAAGCCACCAGCTCCCCTCCCATGATAATCCATTAATCCATTAATCTGTGATGGAGAAATCCCTTCATGAGGGCCGAGCCCTCATGATTGAAACACCTCTTAAAGGGCCTGCCTCTCAATGATGCCACCTTGGGAATTAAATTTCAACCTGAGGCCAGGCACGATGGCTCACGCCTGTAATCCCAGCACTTTGGGAGGCCTAGGCGGGTAGATCACCTGAGGTCAGGAGTTTGAGACTAGCCTGGCCAACATAGTGAAACCCTGTCTCTACTAAAAACACAAAAATTGGCTGGGCACAGTAGCACGCATTTGTAGTCCCAGCTACTCGGGAGGCTGAGGCAGGAGAATCGCTTGAACCCGGGAAGCAGAGATTGCAGTGAGCCAAGATGGGGCCACTGCACTCTAGCCTGGGTGACACAGCGAGACTCCATCTCAAAAGAAAAAGAATAAATTTCAACGTGAGTTTTGGAGAAGACAAATGTTCAATATTCAAACCACAGCAACCTTTAAGAACCACACTAAATAAAGTAAATCCTTTTTTCAAATAACAGCTTTTCCACTCTTTGAAGAAAGTTGAAATAGGAATGCCAAGTCCTTTCTACCTTTGTTCTTTTCACCATTCCCCAACTTGACTTATTGCCTTTACTGCAGAATTACAGAATAAATGCCAACTCATACTTACTGATTCATAAATTCTGCAGCATGGGCCCCTGCAGTCTGTTTCAACAAGCCCTCTGGATGATTCTCACACATGTGAAAGCATGAGAACCACTGGTCTGGTTCTCTTTGCTTGATCGTCTCTCCATGGTCTTTAAAACTATGATTTTTGTCATTCATCTGCTTGCTCTAATTGTTGCAGCAGAAGCTATGACCTGCTGCTACTTACCGACTTCTGTATAGAAGCAAAAGTTTTCTGTACTTGTTCTTAATTGTTAGCATGGTATAAATGCAATGTCGCTATTTGGTAGCAAATATTATCTCCCTTTATTATGACACCAACTTTTTTTAAGGAAACTTTATTGTCAACCATGTGGTTTGGGTGACATAAATTCCATCTCTAGCCTCAGAAATGGACCCTGATTCGCACAGCCAAATTATTTCATGCACTCGTCCACAGTAATTGGTTCAAGAGCAGATACACAAACTCACTGAATCCTGCGGTGTTCGAGGGTTTCTGAAGAGAGTTGTTTTCCCCACTTCCACTGGTTTTAATGGAGGAAGGACATGTTTGAAATTGGACTTCTTTTAACTAAACCGAGGAGCCTGAAACCATCACTGGTCACTTTTTTAAGGCCTGAAAACATAGCCCACCCTGCAGTAGAACAGAGAGGTGGGATGCATGTGACATTATTTTAGCACTGAAGCAAGCGACTCCTGAACCCCACTCTACCTATGAAAATTTAATGTGCAAGAAGAGCGACCATCCGGTCACTGTAGTAGAGATGGGGTTTCACCATGTTGGCCAGGCCGGTCTCGAACTCCTGATCTCATGATCCACCCCCCTCGGCCACCCAAAGTGCTGGAATTACAGGCATGAGCCACCGTGCCTAGCCTTAATTTGCATAAGGTCTTTAAAATGCAAGAACAAATGTTTGTGATGTCCGTAGAAGTAGTAGAGGTGGTACCACTTGTAAAATTAAAGGTTAAGGATGACAGTTCTAATTTTTATTCTGTTCGTCCATGCGACTTAAACTTTATTCACATTTGTAACCTTAGATGTTAAATGGAAATAATGTTCACGACCTATTGCATTCGGTCACAATGAAGCAAAAACTACGTATTATAAATCACAAGATTAAAACAAATTACTATCTGCAATCGGCCAGGCTACATTTCCTATCCTGACACCTGAGGTTCGTAACATTACCTTGGAGGAGCCTTTTGGTACCTTTAAAAAATGGCAGTATGACTCAAAAGTGTGAAGTTGCAAAACTCATTATTTTAAGAGCATGATCCTAATATAGTAGCACAAAATAAACCCTTACCTTTCCTTTTCTGTGACACAGCTGTCATCTGGGCTTTGACCGTGGCTGTTAATTTAGTCTATGACTACTTAAATTCCAGCTGAGCCAAAGAAACCGTAGTTCCTTAAAGTCCATTTCTCAATTCAAACAACTGCCAACCACACAAGCTGTCCCTGCAATTAAGAAAATGTAAAGTGATCCCCCACAGAGAGGAATGAAGTCAAGTCAGAAGCTAGGCCAGCAAATCATTTTCGTCTTACGGCTTCCCAGAAAAGCTTTGGCAGGGGACATGACCAGACCATGAACTATGATAAATAGATGAAGGCTTGTTTGTGTCATGCCTCTATATATTCAGCGCCCGAAAGAACATTTTTCCCTGGACTGTACTAGGTTCTGGATTCCGTCCAGATTTCATATACTGCCAATATTTCTGCGGCAAGCAAATTTTATATGATAAAGAAACCCAAAGAGTTTTAGGAAGGGTCACAACATTGGGAATATCAAGTCGACACTGCTTTACTTCTGAATTTCCTTCATTATAAATTCAAATAGGCTTCAGGAAGCTTTAATTCCACTTTTCAATGCATACTTAAAACTGAGCTATAAATTTCTTTGCACTCAAAGTAATTCCTTTTTTTGTCTTTCAGCATGAAGAAATATGAATTCTATACACAATTACTGCAGTGTTTATTCAAAAAGTCACTTATCCTGTCTTCCTAAGAAGCAAAATTATTGTATTAAACACCACACTGCTACCTTCCTGACAGCATTTTTATGTGTCCTTAATTTTAATACCTCTCTAGGTTGTTCGCTTGATTAGTTTTAGGGAAAATATGAGAACCTGAATTTAGTTCACTGCCATTGATGACTCATTTTGCAACCTTGTTTAAATCAGATATTAATAATCAAATACAACGTTGTGCTCCAACAAGTCTGACGATTCAGAAGCTGTTTGGAATTCATGAAATCAATACACAAATATAGAATCATTATTGCTTTGCCAAATGAAATTTAATAGGAGGGCGTTGTTTTGGACTGAGCTCCTGCACTAAGCCCCAACAAACCAGAGCAAACCAGAATGGAGTCAGTCATGCTAAGTACCACATAGTCAAACTGAACTTTAAAATGGTTTTCCAAGGAATAGGAAACTCACCGCAGCCAGTCAAAAGGAGCCTAGTCACCCTGAATAGGCATGATGAGAAAGTTCTCTCAGCCTGAATCCTAGAAGTAGAGTAACTTGGAAATGACCAGTTGGCTTTCTGTTCCCTGTTTCTGCTTCTGCAGCTCTGTATGCCTATAAAGCCCACCTCCTCTGCTCAGCCCATTGGAGGGTCTTTTCTATTTCATAAATGAGATGCTACCTAATTCATGAATTGCTAATAAAAGCCAATTTGATATTTTAACAAAATATGTTGAAATTTTGTTCTTCAACAGCATGAACCCCAAACAATTTAGCAGCTCACAGCTTTACTAGCTCTATCTCAGTCCTCCACAATCTCTCACTACTTTCATTTGTCCATCCCCACCTCCTCATCTTCCTGCCACAGTCACACAGACACACACGCTCAGCTGTTATTTGAGAGACTGAAATCAAATCAACTGAATAAGGAAATTGAACGCAAACTTAACTGGTTGATTCTTTTTTTCATCATATACATTGTTCCCTCATCTCTGTAATACCTTTCAACTACCTACTGGGCAGAATTGATGGAAAAAATAAACATGTAGATCAATGGCATAAAATACAAAGCCCCATATAGATCCCTCTAAATGTGGATTTCTATAGTTTCAAATTATAGAGAGAGACATCACAAAGCAAAATATAATCAGCTTGCATATGCCAAAGCACGTGTGTCCACTGCGGAGGGGGTGTTGGAAGCCCATAACTATAAGGAACCAGAGAGAGGAAGAAAACTTGCAGGAGAAGCAATAGATGAAAAATAAATGTCCCTATTAGATAAACAGCTCTTTGAAATTTATTTTTAAAGCATCAAGAATTCCATAGATGCAAACGTTGAAAAAAACGGTCATCTTAGTAATCACTGTCAATGCAATTCTTTGTTTTGTTTTGTTTTGTTTTTTTGTTTTGTTTTGTTTGAGACTGAGTCTTACTCTGTCACCCAGGCTGGAGTGCAGCGGCACAATCTCAGCTCACTGCAACCTCTGCCTCCTGGGCTCAAGCGATTCTCCTGCCTCAGCCTCCCAAGTAGCTGGGTTTACAGGTGCACGCCACCACGCCCAGCTAATTTTTGTGTTTTTAATAGAGACAGGGTTTCATCATATTGGCCAGGCCAGTCTCAAACTCCTGACCTCAAATGATCTGCCCGCCTCAGCCTCCCAAAGTGCTGGGATTACAGGCATGAGGCACCACATCTGGCCATGTTAATGCGATTCTAAAGTACCATTCTATACTTTCCTGGGCACCAGCATTGTATATAATTTGTTTTAGCTATGCAGCTATGTTTTTGCCAGTGGAACATCCATGAATACTACTTCCACATCTGGCCCATAAAAACTGCCTGCATGCAAATTTGTGTGTCTCTTCTGCTGTGCTAGAGTGATAAAGACAGTCATGTTGATCTTGAAAGGCATATGTTAAAGACAGCATAGCCATAAGATAGAAGGAGCCTAGGTCCCTGGATCCACTGCACGGAGGTGGGTTATACGCCCATCCTTTTTGATTTTATGTTAACCTGCTGAGACTTCTGGATACATTGGTTAAAGTAGCTAGCTTTACTCTACTACCTGCTTTTAGTTTGAGGAGTTCCTTTTTTTTTTTTTTTAGATGGTGTCTCACTCTGTTGACCAGACTAGGCTGTAGTGCAGTGGCATGATCGTGGCTCACTGCATCACTGCTGCCTCTGCCTCCCAGCTTCAAGTGATTCTCATACCTCGGCCTCCGCAGTAGCTGAGATCATAGGTACCCACCACCACACCCGGCTAATTTTTGTATTTTTAATAGGGATCAGATTTCACCTCGTTGGCCAGGCTGGTCTCAAACTCCTAACCTCAAGTAATCCACCTGCCTCAGCCACCCAAAGTGCTGGGATTACAGGCATGAGCCACCACGCCTGTCCTAGTTTGAGGATTTCTAATTAGCTTTAGCAAGAAATGAGAAGGAAACAAGTTGGAACGCAACAGGAAAGAAAATCTCAAGTTAAAATGTTGTAGCCCCCATACAGAAAACCTTGATTCCATTCTTTCTCTTTCAATATAAACTCTTCTATTCTCTTACCTGTCATCTCCCTTCTTCCTGATTAGACTTCATTTTTTCATCTAAGAAAAAAACTTCATAGGTTTGGTTTCAAATTATCATATCAATAAACACTGAAAATACCCTACCCAATATCATAAAGAAAAACAGAATTATTGATTAACTACTCTACAGCCAATAACAGCAGGTTTCTCTTTGATGGATACATGTAAACTATCTCATAGCCCAAGATCAAACCAAAGAAAAGAAAGTCTGAGAGCTTATGGCCATAGGATGCATTCATATGTCAAAATTTAGTTGTTGTTGTTGTTGTTGTTTTTGAGATGGAGTCTCCCTCTGTTGCCCAGGCTGGAGTGCAGTGGCGTGATCTCGGCTCACTGAAACCTCCACCTCTCAAGTTCAAGTGATTCTTCTGCCTCAGCCTCCCAAGTAGCTGGGATTATAGGTATGTGCCACCATGCCTGTCTAATTTTTGTATTTTTAATGGAGACATGGTTTCACCATGTTGGCCAGGTTGGTCTGGAACTCCTGACCTCAAGTGATCCACCCACCCCGGCCTCCCAAAGTGCTAGGATTACAGGTGCATTTTTTTTTCTTTTTTTTTTTTTTGAGATGGAGTCTCTCCCTGTCACCCAGGCTGGAGTGCAGTGGTGCAATCTCGGCTAACTGCAACCTGCGCCTCCCAGGTTCAAGCAATTCTCCTGCCTCAGCCTCCTGAGTAGCTGAGACTGCAGGCACCCGCCACCACGCCCAGCTAATTTTTGTATTTTTAGTAGAGACGAGGTTTCACCATGTTGGCCAGGACGGTCTCGATCTCTTGACTTTGTGATCTGCCCACCTCGGCCTCCCAAAGTGCTGGGATTACAGGAGTGAGCCACCGCACCCGGCCCAGTCGCACTTTCTTGATGCATTTTTACAAGGGCAAAAAAGGGACAGACTCACTCCTTCCAGCCCTTTTATAAGGACACCAATCCTATCCAGTCACCTTCCAAAAGCCCCACCTCTTCATACCATCACCTTGGGCTTTATGTAACAATATAGGAGTTTTGAAGGGACTCATATGCAAACCACAGCATTTTCCCCATCAAACTCCTTCAGAACCCTATGCCTTTGGTCAGGCTGCTGTTGCCTCTGCCCAGCACAGAAAAAAATTTTAAAAATAAACAAACATCTATTTATATTTTGTGTAAATAAAATCTACGTAATCCCTCAAGACTCAGCTCCAGCCTGCCCTCCTTTGCAGAGTCTCTCCTGAGTTAATTGGCCCTCTTCCGTACTCCAATAGCATATTCGCAAAGCACTTGACATGTACATTTTTAATTGCAAGTTGATTTGTCCTTTAAAAAAAAAAAAAGACTGTAATCCCCTTGAGAGCAGGAACAACCTTTTATGCCTTCATGCCCAGAGCACAGTGTTGGCATATGGATAGTTCTTTAATAAAGTTGTTATATGGCTTAGTGAATTCTGTAGCTTAACAGCTCTTTTGAAAAATCATGCCAAAATCACTTGTTAACCGAACCCCACACCTCAAAAGTTTTTGTTTTGCTAGAAAATAGTTGAGTAGCATGGTACTAAGGTATGGTAGAGAGTAGATTTGTTTAGACTAGGTATTTTTTTCTGTTGCCAGTTACAATTTATAGTTTATCAGAAATTCTCATCAGGTGCTATGTTACGAACAAGTGTTAACAACGGAAGTATCTAGTACATACTTCTGGAATTCAACCTTCTGTTGATAGGATTCATTGATTCATTCATTCAATAAATATTTCAATACCTTGGGAGGCTGAGGCGGGCAGATCACTTAAGGTCAGAAGTTCGAGACCAGCCCGGCCAAATGATGAAATCCCGTCTCTACTAAAAGTACAAAAATTAGCCGGGCATGGTGGCAGGCGCCTATAATTCCAGCTACCCGGGAGGCTGAGGCAGGAGAATCGCTTGAACCTGGGAGGCAGAGGTTGCAGTGAGCTGAGATTGTGCTACTGTACTCCAGCCTGGGCAACAGGGACTCCGGCTCAAAAAAAAAAAAAAAAAATCAATACCTATTCTGTGCCAAGCTGCTTTAGGTGTTGGTGATGAAACAATGAAAGAAAGGAAAATAAAAAGACCAATAGGCCTGCCCTCATTGAGTTTATGATCTACACAGTGGGACCCACAAACTATGTAGATATGTGTTTTGTCAACTGTTATTTAAAAATTAAGTTGGAGTTAGGGGATATAGAATGCAGTGGAAGGAAGAGGGTTGCTACCTCACAGGGTAGTCAGGGAAGGCCTCTGTGACAAAGTGACATTTTGAGCAAAAACTCACAGGGAAGCAGTGCCAAGGGCATTGGCCTTGAGGCAGGAGCATGGTTGGCATTTTCTGAGGACAGCAAGGTGTCAAGTGTGACTGGAGCAAAATAGCAAAGGACAATAAGGTAGAAGTTGATTGTGACAGCCGAGGAGAAGCAGCAGATTACGGAGGGCTTAGCAGGCCGCATAGTTAGGACGCTGACTTACTCTGATAATAAAAGTAGAAGTGGGTAATTACTGGAAAGTATTGAGAAAAGGAATGACATGATTTCACGTTATTTATTTATTTTTGAGATGGAGTTTTTCTCTGTCACCCAGGCTGGAGTGCAATGGTGTGATCTCGGCTCACTGCAACCTCCGCCTCCTGGGTTGAAGCGATTCTCCTGCCTCAGCCTCCCAAGTAGCTGGGATTACAAGCACCAATTTCACTTTAGTTTAATAAAATAATTACTATGTTAAGAGTAGTCTATAGGGACCCAGGGATTAAATGAGGAAACCAGTTAGGAGGCAATGGCAATGATACAGACAAAAGAAAATGATGGCCCAGCCCAGGATAGGGTCAGCCATGGAAGGATGAAATGTCTGCATCTGGATATACTTTGCTTTTTGTTTTGTTTTGTTTTTTAGATGGAGTCTTGCTTTGTCTCCCAGGCTGGAGTGCAGCGGCGTGATCTCGGCTCACTGCAACTTCCTCCACCTCCTGGGTTCAAGCGATTCTCCTTCCTCAGCCTCCTGAGTAGCTAGGACTACAAGTGTGTGCCACCACGCCTGGCTAATAGTTGTATTTTTAGTAGAGACGGGGTCTCACCATGTTGAGTAGGCTGGTCTCAAACTCCTGACCTCAAGGGATCTGCCCGCCTCAGCCTCCCAAAGTGCTAGGATTACAGGCCTGAGCCACCAAAACTGACCATGCATCTGGATATATTTTGAAGGTCAAACCAGCAAACAGAAATATGAAAGAAAATGTCACATCAACAATGACTGCAAGGTCAGGGGAATAGCAAAATAGATTTGCCGTTTACTGATATGTGGGAGTTTATTAATGTGTATCTTTGGGGGAAATACAATGCTTTCTTTATTTTTGTTTCATGTTAGATTATAAGGTTATAGTTATAACTTACATGCTTAAGAATTCTGAGGACTATTTTAGGGTGCTCCTTTTCTTCTTCCAGTTCTTCCCAGTAACCAAACTCTGAAACTTCTTTTTCAAGAATGTCTCAAACACCTCATCCACCTTTGCCTTTTTACTCCTGTTCCTTCTTTTTGGTTCTCAGGACTTCTTGCCTGGAATCATACAACAGCCTCCTAAACTGGTCTCCAGCTTTCAGTCTTTGACCCTTCCAGTCTTTCTCACAATGACCAAAGGACAGACAGGATCGTCACCACCAGGTTCAAAAATCTTTGATGGCCTTTGTCTGCTAAATGAAGACCATGCGTCTCCGAGAGAGGCCCAGCATGTGCCCCTTGTTTTTTTGTGTTTTTGTTTTTGTTTTTGTTTTGTTTTGAGACAGGGTCTTGCTCCATCACCCAAGCTGGAATGCAGTGGCCCAATCTCAGCTCACGGCAACCTCCGCCTCCCGGATTGGAGCGATTCTCCTGCCTCAGCCTCCCGAGTAGCTGGGATTACAGGTGTGCACCACCATGCCCAGCTAATTTTTGTATTTTTAGTAGAGACAGGGTTTCCCCCTGTTGGCCAGGCTGGTCTCAAACTCCTGACCTCAAATGATCCACCAGCCTCAGCCTCCCAAAGTACTGGGATTACAGATGTGAGCTACCATGTCTGGCCCACCTTGTTTTTATCTTGTATGCTCCTTGCCTCTCTTTGCACCATCCGCTCCTCCCAGTCCTTCTCCAGCCCCCATACACATTTCTAACTGTGCATGTCAAAATGTTACCAATCCTTTCACAGCCATCACTCCAATGAAGGCTTCAAGCTTCACCCAGTGAGAATAATCCTTCCTCCCTTACATATTTACAACCTTTGGGCCTCTACTTAACACTGTGTGTTAGTTATTTATTTTTATTTTTCTATGTCTCCTTTTGGGTAGTGACTTACTGTATGAGAATACAGAAGGCCAGGCGTGGTGGCTCACACCTGTAATCTCAACACTTTGCGAGGCTGAGGCAGGAGGATTGCTGGAGGCCAGGAGTTGGAAACCAGCCTGGGAAACAGCGATATAAATTTTGCTGTAATTAATTTAAAAAATTTTTTTTAAATAGCTGGTGTGTGGTGGCACACATCTGTAGTCCCAGCTACCTAGGAGGCTGAGGTAGGAGGATCACTTGAGCCCAGGAGGTCAAGGCTGCAGTGAGCCATGATTGCGCCACTGCACTGCGGTCTGGGTGACAGAATAAAACTCTGTCTCAAAAAAAAAAAAAAAATACTGGGTCGGGCGCAGTGGCTTACACCTGTAATCCCAGCACTTTGGGAGGTAGAGGCAGGAGGATCAGTTGAGCCCAGGGGTTCAAGACAAGCCTGGGTGACAAGGCAAGACCTCTGTGTCTACAAAAATATTAAAAATTAAATTAAAGGGTATATACCCAAAATAATATAAATCATTCTATTACAAAGATACACGCACAGGTATGTTCATTGCAGCACTATTCACAATAGCAAAGACATGGAGTTAACCCAAATGTCCATCAGTGATAGACTGGATAAAGAAAATGTGGTACATATATACCACGCACTACTATACAGTCATAAAAAGGAGCAAGATCATGTCCTTGGCAGGGACATGGATGGAGCTGGAAGCCATTGTCCTCAGCAAACTAATGCAGGAACAGAAAACCGAACACCGCATGTTGTCACTTATAAGTGGGAGATGAACAATGAGAACACATGGATACAGGGAGGGGAACACACTGGGCCCTGTCGGGGGAGTGGGGTGGAGGGAGGGAGAGCATTAGGAAAAATAGTTAAAGTATGTGAGGCTTAATACCTGGGTGATGGGTTGACAGGTGCAGCAAACCACCATGGCACACGTTTACCTATGTAAAAAACCTGCACATCCTGCACATGTATCCCAGAACTAAAAATAAAAATTAAATTTAAAATAAAAATTTTAGAAAACATCGAATTTGTCTTATAAACCAGGCATCCACAGGGTTCAGTAGAGTCATTCTCCTAATTGGTCCCTAAAAAATATTTGTTGTGGGCTTTAATAGCCAAATGCTGCTGCATTGAGAATGGTCTTAATATTGAGAAAAGGTTCTGCAGGATTTGGGGTTGGCCCTCACATAAACAGTAAACATATACACATTCATTTTTCAACTGCATTTTCCCTTATATTATTATCATAGTCTGTTTAAAACGAAACTACCCAAACAATGTATTTTAAAGGTCATATTCAAATACTATCATAAATATAAGCTTCTCTAGAGTAATATTTAGAAAACATTGTAAAATAAATTAGATGTTTGCTTCCTCTGAGGCCAAGCAGGTTTTCATTTTCTTGTGCAAATAAAAAATATTGATTTTTCCTTTTTGTCTGAGGAAAAAAACAATCTTTAAAATATACTAGGCAGACTGCTTATGTGCTACAGAAGCCAGATGTCTCAGAGCACTGAAATAGAAAAATTAGTGCTGAATCTCATAATGTAAGAATATCTTAAGGGAAAAGTGACAAATGTTGTGATTTGGAAACTTGAGGCTAGCTAGTTAGATTCTGCCTAATATCAGGGGCACCTCCAGGATTTGCTTCACTGCTTATATTAATGTTATTGGTCTCAATGTCTTTTTCTTACTAGATTGTTGCCTCTAAAGCCACACTTTACTCCTGTGTATTAACATTATTTGTATAGGGCCGGGTGCAGGGGCTCATGCCTGGAATCCCAGCAATTTGAGAGGCCAAGGCAGGAGGATCGTTTGAGCTCAGGAGTTGGAGACCAGTGTGGGCAAGACCCTGCCTCTATAAAAATAAAATAAAATAATAAAATAATTGGGGTAAATATATTTTTCTGCACTAGATTATACATTTCTTGAGGGTGATATTCCGTAAAATTATTGGCATAAATATTTGTCCCCACTAGATTTTAAGTTCCTGGAGGGCAGGAACTGTGCTTTCTTTATACTCCCCATGGCTCTTACCATAGTGCTTTGCACTCAGCATTCCCTCAAGCAATCTTCACTTCATCTCGCCCCTTGACTACTACTCCTTTCAACTTTTCTTCCTTTGCCAAAGGACACTAAAATACCCAAGTGCTATCTATGATTTAAAACCTTGTATTTCTTGTAATACAGGTTCAGAAGCTGAAACGGAGATCCAAAATAATAGTAGTTTAAACAGCCCAGGTGTAAGCTTCCCAAGACTTACTCCTGCAATCTATCCTACCTGCACAGGTGATTCTGGGCTACTGTGTATGGTTGTGCAGGATGTGTACTGCACAACTCTACGGAGTCCCATTCACACTGTGGTCTATAGGAATGGTGCTCACAACTGCACGGCTGTATTCAGCAGCCCTGGAGCTGCTCCATGGTGGTAAATATCCATGTTCCTTTATTTTAATTGCTCCATTATTCTTAGGGAGTGTCAAGATCCATCATGTCCTAAGATGGATCGCTGGCTTGACATCCATATCCCACTAAGGGCATGCTTACTGGAAGCTGCGTGTCACTTCCACTCACATTCTGTTGACTAGAACTTACTCATACAGCCATGCCTCACTAGGAGAGAGACTGAAAAATATCTTTAGTCTCAGTGCCAAGTTAAAACTGAAGGGTTCGATTACTAGAAAAATGGAGAACTGATTTGGGGGACAACTAGAAGTCTCTACTACAAGCCAGAATGCCACCTTTCATTTTGGAAAGTCACTTTCATTTCAATTTCTACAGTCTTTATTACAACCATCACTACGCCTTGACTCCTGACAGCACAGCGCTTTTTCAGGCCCACTTTATTTGTTGCCTGACCTCCTGCAACAGTCTTCTAATATTTCCCTGCCTCTAGCCACTCAACTCCAATCTATGACTGATGGGAAATGCCAGATAACCTGATCCAAATCCATCTCTCCATTCTTAATTTTTCCTGCTCTTACACATGCTTTTGCTTGATTCCAGCTGAATTCCTCGTTCCTCCTTGTACATTCTGTATCTTCTTACCTGTGGCTTTTTGTTTGTTTGTTTGTTTGTTGAGATGGAGTCTCGCTCTGTCACCTAGGCTGGAGTGCAGTGGCACTATCTCAGCTCACTGCAACCTCTGCCTTTCAGGTTCAAGCAATTCTCATGCCTCAGCCTCCCAAGTAGGTGTGATTATAGGTGCGTGCTACCACACCTGGCTATTTTTTTTTTTTTTTGTAGTTTTAGTAAAGATGGGGTTTCACCATGTTGGCCAGGCTGGTCTTGAACTCCTGACCTGAAGTGATCTACCCGCTTCGGCCTCCCAAAGTGCTGTGATTACAAGCGTAAGCCAGAGCACCCAGCTGACTTGTGACTTTTCTCAGACTGTTTCTTTGCCAAATTGCCTTTCTGCCCTGATTCCATGTCACTATCTTAATTGCCTTTTCAGTCACAGCTCAAACTACCCACCCCCATCACTCATTACCTGACCCTTAGTCAGATCAGTTCTACTTCAAGTAAATATCCATATACTAATTTTTACTTCTTATTTACATGCAATTGTGTGGTAAAAGGTACATATTTTAAGGATCCAATTCAAAATATTTTTAATATCTGTATATACCTATTGTGGTTGGCAAAATGTTGGTCCCCATGACTCTCACCTAGTGTCACATCTGTGAACATGTGACATTACAGGCCAAAAGGGACACTGCAGGAGTAATTAAGGTTACTAATCAGTTGACTTTAAGACAGGAATATTATCGTGGATCATCCAGGAAGGCCCAGTGTAATCGCATGAGCCCTTAAAAGTTAATCTTTCTTTTTTTTTATTGAGACGGAGTCTCACTGTATCACCTAGGCTGGAGTACAGTGGTGTGATCTTGTCTCACTGCAACCTCCGCCTCCTGGGTTCCAGTGATTCTCCTGTCTCAGCCTCCCAATTAGCTAGGAGTACAGGTGTGTGCCACCACACCCAGCTAATTTTTATATTTTTAGTAGAAACAGGGTTTCACTGCTGTCTCTCTCTTGCCACCTTGTGAAGAAGCTACCTGTTTCCCCTTCCCCTTCCGCCATGATTGTAAGTTTCCTGAGGCCTCCCCAGCCATACAGAACTGTGAGTCAATGAAATTTCTTTCCTTTATAAACTACCCAATCATGGGTATTTCTTTATAGCAGTATGAGAATGGACTAATACAGAGACAAAAAGAAAAAAGAAAAGAAAAGAGTGGGACTGAAAGCACACAAATCCCTGCATGTGTGACAGACCAGAGACTCCTTTCTCTGGTCTTATAATAGTGATTGTATATCCAAGCAACCTTGAAATGAAAAGAGCTCCTGATATATACCGTAGGCAGCATTTCATTTTGGTGGAAGAAAGAAAGGTCTATTTAATAAATGCTGCTGGCATACTCTGAAATCAATGCAGGCAAAAATACAATTAGATTTCTATCCTATGCCATGAACGATCAAAATTTCCAATGAAAAGAAAGTTAGTCAAGCCATAAAAGAAGAAAATAGAAGAGAGTGTACTTAAGATTTGGAGGTGCCTAGGTCTTCTAAGCAAAACATAAAATCAGGGGAAAGATAGAATTTTGTACACAAAAATTTGAATGTCCTATAAGACAAAAGCCATCATAAACAAAGCCAAACACATGCACCTGATGGAAAGAAACATACATGGCAAAAAATGCACGTACATAACTTATCTATGCACTTACAAATCATTAAAAAAAGACTCATCATCCAAGAGAATACTGTGCAAACAACATGGAAGAGCAATTCACAGGAAAAATACAAATAGTAAGACCTGAAACCATAAAAACCCTAGAAGAACACCTAGGCAATACCATTCAGGACATAGGCATAAGCAAAGACCTCACGACTAAAACATAAAGCAATGGCAACAAAAGCCAAAATTGACAAATGGGATCTAATTAAACTAAGAAGCTTCTGCACCACAAAACAAACTATCATCAGAGTAAACAGGTAACCTACAGAATGGGAGAAAATGTTTGTAATCTATCCATCTGAGAAAGGGCTAATATCCAGAATCTACAAGGAACTTAAACAAATTTACAAGAAAAAAACAAACAACCCCATCAAAAAGTGGGCAAAGGATATGAACAGACACTTCTCAAAAGAAGACATTTATGCAGCCAACAAACATATGAAAAAAAGCTCATCATCACTGATCATTAGAGAAATGCAAACCAAAACCACAATGAGATACCATCTCACACCAGTTAGATGGTGATCATTAAAAAGTCAGGAAACAACAGATGCTGGAGAGGATGTGGAAATGGGAACGTTTTTACACTGTTGGTGGGAGTGTAAATTAGTTCAACCATTGTGGAAGACAGTGTGGCAATTCCTCAAGGATCTAGAGCCAGAAATACCATTTGACCCAGCAATCCTATTACTGGCTATATACCCAAAGGATTAGAAATCATTCTACCATAAAGACACATACACAAGTATGTTTATTGTAGCACTATTCACAATAGCAAAGACTTGGAACCAACCCAAATGCCCATCAATGATAGGCTGGATAAAGAAAATGTGGCACATATACACCATGGAATACTATGCAGCCACAAAAAGGATGAGTTCATGTCCTTTGCAGGGACATGGATGAAGCTGGAAACCATCATTCTCAGCTAACTAATACAGGAACAGAAAACCAAACACTGCATGTTCTCACTCATAAGTGGGAGTTGAACAATGAAATCGACACAGGGAGGGCAACAGCACACACTGAGGCCTATCGCAGGATGGGGGGCTAGGGGAGGGATAGCGTTAGGAGAAATAACTAATGTAGATGACAGGTTGATGGGTGCAGCAAACCACCATGGCACGTGTGTACCTATGTAACAAACCTGCACATTCTGCACATATACCCCAGAACTTAAAGTATAATAAAAAATGAAAAATACAAATAATACCAATAAGCACATGAAAATAGGTTCAATTTTAATAATCAAGTAAATACAAATTGGGAAAAAATAAAAAGATTTACACTATTTAGTGTGAGAATATGGGGAAATGTGCTCTCATACCTGGCTGCTGGAATTAAACTGATGTAGTTTTTGTGGGAGGAGTACAACTAGCAGCATCTACCAGAATCTAAAATGTGTGTTCCCCTTAATCTATCAATTTTACACTTAGGAATCTCTCATATGTGCATTCAACCGCACAAAGATACAACATACTTGGGCCTGTTACTTAACCTGATTCTTCCTTGGTGATACTGATTCTTGCTTGGTGAAATGTTTATGACAGTAGTGTATGCCTCATTTCATTGTTATTTTCAAATGAGATAAAGAATACATGGCCTGTACAAAGTAAATTTCAATGAATAGATCAAAATCAAATCTTGACGTTACTGTGATCCCCATTTTATTGTGACATGGTTGTTTTATGTACCTATATAGTTATAAATTATAAACAAAATGTCCATCAATAGAGAAGTATATATTATGAAAACGCATGTACATATACGTACATATGCACACAAATCTCCAAGAAGCTGTTCAAGCAAAATAGTAAAGTCACAAAATATTTATAGATTATTTCCCTGTATTTATCCCTCTGCGTGTGTGTGTGTGTAAAGGGAAAGAATGAATGAGTGTTTTATAAAGATTTAAAAGGACGCCAAAGTTTTATTAATGCCCTAAGTATTGGGCAAAGGGAATAACTGAAGAGGTACTGACACTGTTTTACCCTGTGTTATTCTGTATTGTTTGAATTCTGTCCTTTCTGAACAGCCTGTAGAGGTTTAATGTTCCCATTAAAACCAGTGAACTTGCCTCATCCAAAACCACAACAGCTGAACCGTTTGACTTCAATCAATTCTAAGCAACTTGGTCATCTGTTTTTTTCAGATTAGAAATGATAGAAGATAATTTATAATCCGTATTTTGCATACCAATGAGGATGAAAGAGACTTACATCTCATTTTTTTAAAAAGGGACTTAGGATAATGAGCTTAAATTTTTTGAAAAATCATCTTATTCCTAACAATGGCAGATTAATGAAGCATTTCTGAACGAAATTATTTCATCATATCTGATTAAGGAACTCTTCATTTGAGAAAGCTATAAAATTTTTATATTCTTCAGTTAATACTATACACAAAAGATTCTAAAATGGCTAACCGTACGGTGAAGGATGCACACAGCATCCACGGCACTAACCCTCAATATCTGGTGGAGAAGATCTTTGAACGCGAATCTATGAGTCCAAGTTCTGGAAAGAGGAGTGCTTTGGACTTACGGCTGAACTTGCAGTCGATAAAGCCATGGAGTTAAGGTTTGTGGGTGGCCTCTATGGTGGCAACATAAAACCAACACCCTTTCTGTGTTAAACCTTGAAGATGCTTCAAATTCAACCCGAGAAGGATATCATTGTAGAGTTTATCAAAAATGAAGATTTCAAGTATGTCCGCATGTTGGGGGCATTTTACGTGAGGCTAACAGGCATTGCAATTGATTGCTACAAGTACTTGGAGTCTTCCTACAATGACTATTGAAAAATCAAGAGCCAGAACCGAAATGAGGAGTTTGAATTGATGCATGTTGATGAGTTTGTTGATGAACTATTGCACAGTAAGAGAGTATGATATCATTCTGCCCCGGCTACAGAAACGCTATGTATTAGAGGAAGCTGAGCAACTGGAGCCTTGAGTTAGTGCTCTGGAAGAGGACATGGATGATGTGGAGTCCAGTGAAGAGGAAGAAGAGGAGGATGAGAAGTTGGAGAGTGCCATCAACTGATCACCGCCGGAGAAGCTACGGAGACTTGGACAAGTCCCGTTGCTCTCCCACACTGCGCTACAGAAGGAGTAGGAGTCGGTCTCCCAGAAGGTGGAATCGATCTCCCAAAAGGAGAAGTCCCTCCCTGCATCGAGAAAGGCATGGGAGCAAGAGTCCAAGACTTCACCGCAGCAGGTCCCGAGATTGGCAGCACAGATCCCATTCCAAGTCCCCAGGTCATCACTGTAGTCACAGACACAAGAACCACTCAAAGTCTCCCGAAAGGTCTTAGAAGAGCCACGAGAAGAGCCGGTGAGGGAATGAGTAATGGACTCAGTTTGGTTTTAGTCCACATGGCCTCCTGTGGATATAAGGATATGTCTATGTGGAAGGATTAAGATCTCCCCAAGGTAGATATAAGAATATTTTAGTTTTTTGGCCGGGCGCAGTGGCTCACACCTGTAATCCCAGCACTTTGGGAGGCTGAGGTGGGCAGATCACAAGGTCAGGAGTTCGAGACCAGCCTGGCCAATATGGTGAAACGCTGTCTCTACTAAAAATACAAAAATTAGCCAGGCGTGGTGGCGGACGCCTGTAGTACTAGCTACTCTGGAGGCTGAGGCAGGAGAATCACTTGAACCCAGGAGGCGGAGGTTGCAATGAGCCAAGATCAGGCCACTGTACTCCAGCCTGGGTGACAGAGCGAGATTCCATCTCAAAAAAAAAAAAGAATATTTTAGTTTTTTTCTTATCAAGTTTCTCAACCTTTATTTTTAATGAAGGAAGTGCTGAGTTTTGTTTCTCTTTTTAATCATAATCAACATTAGTTTTTGACCCAAGTAACGTTGACTGTATTCAAACTTATGAGAGTAGAGAGGATCTGGAGGTTGGGGATATGAATGACAAGGAAAGGATGTGGCCACCTGATAACCCTTTCCCTTTTTATCAAACCGGACACACCTGTTTCCCATTTATCTGTAGTTTAGTTTTTGGTTTGTTGTGGTTGGAACTGCTTTGAGAATCCTGGGATTTGTACTGCTGCTATTATTCAAAGACCAAATGAGTAAAACATAGTAGCTCCTAACTTTTTTCCAGCAGCAGCAAGTGGTAATAAACATGAAAACTGGTTAGCAGCAGTTTTGAAAGAACAGAATGCATTCAAATTTAAGGCTTCTTCTGGGTCATCAAAGCCAGTTTCATCAAACAGTTCAACAGAGAGTGGCACTTAATACCCTTTATACAGCCCATGGTTTCATAGTTTCATTTGTTCTTGCCCACAAGCTTGAAATCCAGGTTAAGGTATCCAGCCTTTATCACATAAGCATTGACATTATCCAGGCCTAGTCAGTAGCAGTAGGGTAACAGGATTGAAAAAGATTTGATGGAGAGGAAAGTATCTAATACTAGTCATGGTTTTGACCTAAATTGCTAGACAATAGTGCCATTCACAAAGTCAGAAAATACAGCAGGAAGAGATGGCTTTAAGAGGGGCAGAGAATTAGAAGATTGTGGTAGTAATGAAAATGATGCATTCAGTTTAACAAGTTTAATTTGAGACAGCTATGGTATAGCTAAAAAATAAAAAGCCCATAAAGTTGGAGATAGGGACTAGAGTTTAACATAGCAATCTAGGCCAGAATTGACAATGTTTAAGTAATTGTGGAATCTGTCAATAAGACTCTCCAGAATGTTTATATATATATGTATCAGAAATCCACACAACAGAACCATAGGCAACACCCACACTGGTGACAGGAAGAAGTAGAAGTCACCTATTGAAAACTGGAATGACCCGTTCAGAAAGACAGGCAAATTAGGAGAGAGTACATGAAAGAAGCCAGGGGTCAAGAATGCAGAAGCAAAGGAAGGACTAAAAAGCCTCCATGGACATTGATAATCAAGAGATTATTAAGATCTTTGCTAGAAGAGTTCCTTTACCTGTACTTAATTCCCTTAAAAAAAAGAAAAGTGATTGAATGACTTCCAGCAACTGTAGTCCCGGCAGGAACTGTGGAGACCAGCTGCCCTGTGGGATCCAGTTTTCCTTGGGAGGTTGTATCTGGTCATAAGATAAACATTCTATACATTCTATTGCCTGCTCTTGAACTGAAAGACTTCAACAGTATTAAAGCATTTTTTAATCTTATTTGAGCTTTCATATTCTTCAGTGATTCCTTTCATAATACCTGAGTTAATAAAAGTGGTCTGGGGCCGGGCACGGTGGCTCACGCCTGTAATCACAGCACTTTGGGAGGCTGAGGCGGGCGGATCACAAGGTCAGGAGATCGACACCATCCTGGCTAACACAGTGAAACCCCGTCTCTACTAAAAAATACAAAAAATTAGCCGGGAGTGGTGGCGAGCGCCTGTAGTCCCAACTACGCGGGAGGCTGAGGCAGGAGAATGGCGTGAACCCGGGAGGTGGAGCTTGCAGTGAGCCGAGATCGCGCCACTGCACTCCAGCCTGGGCGACAGAGCGAGACTCCGTCTCAAAAAAAAAAAAAAAAAAAAGTGGTTTGAGAGAGTGAAAGATCTCTTATGGTTTCTGATACAACTGTATAGGACTACCTTTTAAGATTAAATATAAGCATCCCTACATAAATGTAAAAAAACCTATACATAAAAATTAATAATATGCTGACTCAATGGAATTCTCTAAACGATCTTCTGTTGTGAAGATAGTAGCCGCACCGCCCCCCATCTTCCCTGGGGCATGTCAGGAGAGCAAAACCCCACTCTGCCTGCCCTAACAGCACTGCCAGGGGGTCAGGCTGGCTGGAAAATATCTCACCAGTGTCTGCCTCATTTGAAATAGTCACTGTCAAAAACCATGACCAGCAGGATACTGTATATATCCTAAAGGAGACCGAGCTACAGGAAACTCCTCTTTACTATGCTACTACTGAATAAACTGTAGCCTTCTACTTCTAATTCAAGATAAGGAAAACAGCTAAACGCTGGCAATCTTTCAAACTAGTAAAAGCAGAAAAAACTACGGGAAAAGAAAATTTTACCAAAACTATTCTCCGTAAGTGATTCCGTCCAAGAAACAAGTGAGGTAGGACTTCAGAAATTTCACCTGCTATGACTGTTATAAAACCATGAAAAGCAGCAATGTCATTAGTAACAACTAACATTTATTGGGTACTTATATGGGCCCACCTCTGTGCTACAAATTTATAGATATTACATCATTTGCTCCTCAGACAACTGCTTATTCCATTTTACAGATAAGGACTTTGAGGCTTAAGAAAGTTAAGTACTTTTTCTTTCAGTTCTATTGGGTACACTAAATATGGCATTTGTTAGAAGTTAAGTACTTTTTCCCAAATCTAAGGCAAGTTTCACTCCAAAGCCTTGGCTCTTAACCATGACACATGTCACCATTCCACTACTGTGACTGAGAATCTGTGAAGACCTGTCATGAGAATCTAATAACAATTATACCCTAAGGTATTGTGTCTAACTTTTATTTTGTTAGTATTTGCCAAAAAAAAAATACTTAATAAGTCCATCTTTACCCCTAAGAAAATACTGATAGCTTTAAACTAACCCATTTCATTTACTACAAGATTATAATTGGTACTAAAACAGCTCAGCCTTAATTCCTAAAACATTAAAATATATGTGGTAAAGGTTTCTTTGCCTCTGTTAATGTTTATCCAACTAAAAATATACTTTTAAGTAAGAAAACTGAATGTTTCCAAAGTTTACAAGCATCTAAAGTTAATTCACAGAAATATTTTTAAATGCTTTTTCAAAAACAAATAAAGCAAATAATATCTCCATAAACATATTAAATAATTTGGAATTTTCCAGGGGCAAAAATGCGTCATAACTATAAACATACAACTTGTAAAATAACCAACATTTTCACAAAATAATACTTTCTAAAAAACCTTTTTACTAGCTATGCTCACACCTAACTTTTGCTACTTGTCATTGTTATTTCATACAACTTACAAACAGACAGTATCAACTCTACTTCAAAAAAATGTATTTTGAACTTTCTGAAATTTCAATTCTCACAAGATGTAATACTTTTTCTTTTTTTTCTTTTTCTTTTCTTTTCTTTTTTTTTTTTTTTTTTTTTGAAGACAGAGTCTCGCTGTCACCCAGGCCACATTGTAGTGGGTAATACATTTTTAATGCTATAAATTGTTTCTATATGAAATTTCTCATATATGTTGATTTTGGAATTGAAACAAAAAAGTAATACCAGATTTTGGAGCAAATGTTTATGCATACAAGTTACGAATAAAGTTGTAACTTTGAAAAAATGAATGTTTGATGCACGAAAATCTACAGACTCCAGGCTAACAACTGTTCTAAATTCAGTTTTTCTTCTTGAGTACACTTAATGTAAATTAACCTTTCCATTTCCTCATTTCTTAAGATTAATTTCTGTTGCAAGGGTTTTAATAAAGTTCAGCGAAAGTTTAACTCAATAAAATCAGCTTCTGAACACATTAATTTAGCCACAAACCTATTTTAGTCAACTTATGATTAGATTAAAAATCATTCAGACAAATTATTTTGTGTCTTGCATATTTCTCAAAAACAGAAGCATATGCATTTCCCACAATCTTGAATATATTCCTCCCTAAGAAGGGGTGTGTGTGTGTGTGTGTGTGTGTGTGTGTGTGTGTGTGTGTCTGTTTGTGGGAGGGCTTATTAAAAAAAAAGACACTAGAAGTTCTATTTAAGTAACAACACTACTACAAAAAAATTTTTTTTTCTTTTTTTTTTTTTTTTTTTTGACACAAGGTCTCACTCTGTTGCCCAGGCTGGAGTGCAGAAGCGTGATTATAGCTCACTGCAGCCTCAGCCTCCTAGGCTCAAACAATCCCACACCTCAGCTTCCCAAGTAGCTGGAAGTACAGGCATGTGACACCATGCCTGGTTAATTTTTGTATTTTTTGTACAGACAGTTTCGTCATGTTGCCCAGGCTGGCCTCCAACTCCTGGACTTAAGTCATCCACCCACCTCAGCCTCCCAAAGTGCTGGGATTACAGGCGTGAGCCACCACACCTGGCCCAAAAATATTTTAACCTACTTTCTAGTTGTATCTAGTTTATATCATGTCATCAAATTCAATACAACAAAAATACCTAATTGGATTTTACGATTGTTTTTTCTTCCCAGCCACACTACTTAAGTGAATGGTCAGATAAATTGTATGGTTATAAAATATTTGCTAAAAATATCTGTCAGACTATGGACTATGCAGATATCATTTTTCATTTTTATAAACTTAAAACTACACTGTTCATTTTGATAAGAAACAATAGACATGACTGTAGGAATGCTGATTTTTTTTTCTTTCGGTTCTATTGAGTACACTGAATATGGCATTTGCTAGAAGTCATTCCCCACCTCCCCACCCCTTCTTGATATTTCTTTTTTTTCTCCCCACCCTGAGACAGAGTTTCGCTCTTGCCCAGGCTGGAGTACAGTGATGTGATTTTGGCTCACTGCAACCTTCGCCTCCTGGGTTCAAGTGATTCTCCTGCCTCAGCCTCCCAAGTAGCTGGGATTACAGGCATCCACCACCACGTTTGGCTAATTTTTATATTTTTAGTAGAGACAGGGTTTCACCTTGTTGGCCAGGCTGGTCTCAAACTCCTGACCTCAAGTGATCCACCCGCCTCGGCCTCCCAAAGTGCTGGGATTATAGGTTGAGCCACCGCACCCAGCCTTTCTCTATTGCAGTGTTTCTTAAAGGCTGGTGGGACAACTAAGCTGCTTGCACCATAACTGCCTAGCACCTTGCTAAAAAATTCAGGTTTCTTAGCCCCACAGCTGCTGATGCAAAATCTCTAAAGAAAGAATTCTGAGGTCCTCAGATGATTAATAAATGATTTGATCTGAAAACCGTTTTTCTACAGTCATTATCCTCAAAGTTAAACCACAAAATGTTAACTGAATTTAAGAAAAATTGTTAATTTTCGAATTGTACAAATTGAATTTAAATATGTAAGGCACGATCATTAATCAAGAAACAAAATGTATTTTTACAGCAATCTCAGTTTTGCATTATATATAATTTTAGCAAAGCAGGAGAAGATGGTAAGAGTATAAAGTAATGCGGAACAGAATGCTGCAGTTAAGAACTTTTGAGCAAAATGAAAGTATATTAATTAATACCCAGAATTTTCTAGGGTATAATCTAGAGGCGCAAACGTCGATGTGAAGGTTGAGTTCATAATATGCCTGGAAATTGCATATGCATAAATAATTTAGTGCTTTTTATGCGCTTAAAAAGACATCAGTCTTCATGTATGAGATCACAGCCATATTAATCTGGTTTTTAAAATCCAGGCAGGGTGTGGTGGCTCATGCCTGTAATCCTAGCACTTTGGGAGGCCGAAGTGGGTAGATCACTTGAGGTCAGTCAGGAGTTCGAGACCAGCCTGGCCAACATGGTGAAACCCCGTCTCTACTAAAAATACAAAAATTAGCCGGGCATGGAGGCGTATGCCTGTAATCCCAGCTACTTGGGAGGCTGAGGCAGGAGAATCACTTCAACCCGGGAGGCAGAGGTTGCAGTGAGCTGAGATCATGCTATTGCACTCCAGCCTGGGCAGCAAGAGCGAAACTCTGTCTCCATAAATAAATAAATAAATACATAAATAAATAAATAAATAAATAAATCCCAATGTCTTGTTTCACAAACTCCTATAAATTAGAACTCCTTCTATTATTAAAATACCCATGTGCAACCAAAACATTAAGAAACAAAGACCCTGAGACATGAAAGTTAACATCACCAGAAAATGGAACAATTTAATATTCCTGCCCAAAGGTACATAATTAAATCTAATCATTAGGAAACATCAAATGAACTCAAACGGAGGGACCAAACAAACTCAAATGGAGGGACTGTCTATAAAACAACGATCCTGTACTGTGGAAAATGTCCAAGTCACGAAAGGTGAAGAAAAACTAAGGAACCACTCTAGACTAAAAGAGATGATAACTAAATGTAATTGCTGACCCTGGATTGGATCTTGACCCAGAATATACATGTGCATGCATACATACATGTCAATGAGACTGGAATAAGGTCTACCAATTAGATAAAGGTATTGGATTCTTAAACTAAATATGGCCTGAGAAGCACTCTGTACTTCTATATTTGAGTCCTTGTGGACGAACTGTAACCTAGCTCAATAGGCGGACAAGATTGATAACCTAACTAGGAGTACGCACCTGTAACAACAGCTGAGTCTTGGCCAATCCCAGACGACGTACTTCAACCACTCACAGACTGCTAAGTGTTCAGACTGTGTTCAAGTAAGACAAATGCCAATATGTAACCAGTCCAGCTATTTCTGTACCTCACTGCCAATTTCTGTATGCCACTTCCCTTTTTTTGTCTATAAATTTGTTCTGACCACAGGGCATCCCTGGAGTCTGTCTGAATCTGCTGATTCTGGGGGCTGCCCGATTCACGAATCGTTGATTGCTCAATTAACCTCCTTTAAATTTAATTTGGCTGAAGTTCTTCTAATAACAGTATCAGTGTTGATTTCCTGATTTAGGTTATGGTACAGTGGCAAGGTAGCACGATGTCCTTGTTCTTAGGAAATATGCACTGAAGAAATTAGGGGTTAATGTTTCAACTTATTCTCAAATGGTTCAGGACATATTATGAACAGAGAGAGAGAAAACTATAGCAAACGGGGCAAAATATGAACAAGTGGGGAATTCAAGTGAAGGGTTTAGAGGTGCTTTTCCTTCTATTCTTAACAAATTTCCTGTAACTTTGAAATTATTTCAAAATAAAAAATGACCAAAATATTTTAAAAGCTATAACAGGAACACAAAAAAAATCTAAAATGTTTAGAATATATCTTTAAGCTT